>NC_000012.12:112157097-112308612 GCF_000001405.40 Homo sapiens | reverse complement strand
TCTGTTTTTTATTTAATGTCTTAGACTTTTCCCATATGAACTGAGTGAATGTGTTCTCTAAGTTTCTGCAGCCTACAACAAACTTTTTTTTATAATTAAGAAAAAATTCTAGACAGTCAAAGATGGTATAAATACTAGCTGGTTTTTTTTTTTTGTTTTGTTTTTGTTTTTTTTTTTGCTTTTTTTGAACCAGATCTATTTTGGGAAGGCATCATTTCCTTATTCAATTTGTTCTAAACAGCCTCTCTGTGGGAAAGGGAGCTTTGAAATGAGTGTAGAGTAAAATCATTGTGTGCTAGGGATTGAGAGCTTGGCTTTAGTGCTCTCGTAAGCACTCTGCCATGGCACTTGCTGTATTATACTGCAGTTACCTGCTTTTCTGTCTGACTTCACTGACCATGCACACCTTTAGGTATGGACCCTGTCCTACTCATCTGTGTATCCTTAGAACATAACACACTGCCAGACATTTGACTGATAATAATAACAATGATGGTAACTACCATTCCTCAGCATCTCCTATGTGCTAGGCCTTGGCCTAGGCAATTAACATACACTTCCTCTTCCTACCTGTGAGGCATTACTATGTAGGTTTATCTTACAGATAAGGAAACTGAGGCTAGGCACCTAGTAAGCATTCAGCAAGTGTTTATTGTTGAGTGTAAGAATACAGCTCAGAGAGGTTAAGTAACTTGCCTAAGGCCATACAGCCAATAGTAGCGGCACCAGAACTTGAACCTTTGGTTCTCTGCCCAGTACTTTGAACTCTTTACACTGCAACTTTCTGCCTTTCAAACAAAGTTGGATTAAATGATTAGAGTTGGCGTCTGTGGAGTGAGTGCTCTAAGAGTAGTCACATCTAGAAATTAAGTGTAATGTTACATTTCTTCTTGTTTGTCACTCAACTGCCTGTCCTAGAGAACAGGGACTGAGTCTTGTTCACCACTGTCATCTCCAGAGCACATAGTAGGTGCTCAATAATTGTTGGATGAATAAAATGAACAAATTAACAAATAGATGCCCAATTAACCTAATTTCTTGTCACAAGTGCAGACAGATGAGAATGTCTCATACTCATTTGAAATAGAAGTTATAAGACTGGTAGTTAAACAGATGTTAAATCTCAAAACATGATTTACATTTGAAGTAGTGCCAGGTTCCTCAGTGTTGTTGCAGAAACTTTGACACTGTCCAAGAAAGCAGGGCTGTAGGTCACAAACTAGATATGTGCATTGCAATGGAGCACTTTGGGGATAGCACAGGCCAATTAGTAGCTGTCAACTTTCTAGTCTTCCTGGCACTGTAGGTTCAAAGTATGGTTACATCAACTAAATGAGTTTTTACTTTTGAGCTAGACAAAACAGGTCTGGAAAAAAGTTCATGTGAAATCAATTGAGGGGTCAGAGATCGCCTTGGGAAAACTAGTGCCCCCTCCCAAAGTAATGGGAAATTGAACATTGTTCTCACTGTTCTCTGAAGGCATCTGACTTTCTCTAATTATTTTTATTTTGAGTTTCTCAGCTCTTCTATTTCTGGATTTTTTTTTTAAACCTAGCCAGCAGGTTTTTGTGGTTCTAATGTTCAGTCATTTTAAGTGCCTGTCTTTGGCAGTAAAAATTAGTATGTAGCTACACATTTAATGTGAAATGATGCAAAGCTTATTCATTATGCTGAAACAGAAGGATGTTTAGTATTAGAAACACATGCCTTCATGTTTAATATACAGAATTGGTGTTTGTCTTTTCCTCCTGATGGACTTGGTGAATTTCAGTAAGCCCTCATATGCTAAGTTAGGATCTGTCATGGGCCTTTATATTTTTTACTTTGTTTCTCCTTCTCCCTCTTCTCAGCTTTTCCTCTTGGCTTTCTTTTGCTGTCTCTTTTTTCCTTCTTTTCATATTCATTAAATAACTTTGAGTTAGGCTTTCCGTTAGGTACTGGAGATATAGAGGTGAATAAGACACAGTTCTTGTCCTTTAAATAAAATTATCATAAATTCATTTACTAAAGAAATTTCAGAAAGTGTTGCTTCTCTAAAACTTTGTTTTTAATAAGTGTTAGATACAACACATATGCATAACAGATTCAAAGTGTTTAGTAAATACTTTTTCCTATTAAAAAGTAATTTGAATTGATCCCAAGAACCTTTTCATCTGTTGCATGGCTGTTCATATTTATTCTATTGCCCATTGTATGAACTTTTATATTTTTGCCATGTAATTTGTGTATGTTATTATTAGAGATAAATATCCATTTTATTTTGACCAGAAAGCCTAGTGAATTCTCATCTTGGGCATAATGGCATTAATGATGAGCTGATAGGATTAATCAGAATTTATATGTGGCTCTAATGGAGATTTCCTCCCTTTCATGCCCAGGTGTGCCAGGTGGTGCCAATGCCAGCCAATCACCTCCCCATTGGCAGCACCATGAGCACTGTGCACCTGTCTTCAGATGGCACTTACTTCTATTGGATCTGGTCTCCTGCCAGCCTGAATGAGAAAACACCGAAGGGACATTCTGTCTTCATGGACATTTTTGAACTTGTGGTAAGTTTGAACTTTCTCGCTTGTATCTTTGCAGAAACATTTCTGTTTGCTTTCTTTTTATATTGGTGTGCAAAGGGCCTAAGAACCTTGCAGCGTGTATAGTGTGTTCAGTGTTTCCTTAAAATTGATTTTTCTCTTAGATGTCTTTGAAGGTTTCTTTGTTTGGAGTTGTATGACAATAAGTAGAGCCAAGCTTTCTGAATGTTAATCTGATGACTGGAGATAACATTATTTAATGTGTAGACAGAAGGGTATTTAAGTAGAAATGCTCACAGTCTGTTGGAAATGTGGGGCAACATTACAGTAGCAAGAATGGGTCTACAGATAGAAATTGGGAGTCTCTGAGAGAGATAACAACATTGTGACATGTCACTTACCTTTTAGATATTAGCCAAATGCTCACTGAGAGCCAAGTGTGTTCTGTCTAGGTGGTGGGAGTACAGAGATGGGCAGGGTGGGCAGGGTTCTTGCCCAAATGTGATGTGTATTCAGGCTCCAGAGTTGGGTGGGTTGATGATGGTGGAGAGGCATAAAGATTAACCATAAACAAGTGAGCAAATAAGCGCACGAGATAATCGTAATTAGTGAAGGAAAAGTAGTCATGTACCAGATGAAGAGGCTGGGGAGTAGGTGAGGGAAGAACATTCCAGAAAGAGGATACCACACGTGCAAAGTGTCTGTGGCAGGAGGCAGCATGTTTTAGGGAGAAAAAGTGGGCCAGAGTGGCTGGAATGCAGAGAGAGGAGGAGGGCTTGGGGCAAGAAGCAGCTGGGAGCCACGGCGCTTTAGATCCACACCGTCTTGCACAGTGGCTGCTAGCCATACGTTGCTATTTAAATTTCACTTGAAATTTAATAAAATTAAAACTGGAGTTGCATAGCTTGATTAGCCACAGTTCAAGTGCTCAGTAGCCATATGGCTAGTGGCTTCTTCGTTGAACAGCAAAGATATAGAACATTTCCATCATGAAGAATGTTCTATTGGACAGAGCCGGTCTAGGTAGGATTTGTAGAGACTTATAAAAGAACAAATTGCCCCAAGCCAGGTCTGTGACAAAACCTTTTTTCATGAGGTAATTTACAGTCTCCTTCTGGGAAGAAATTAGCATTCCTGTAAAAAAACAAAAACAAAAACACCGAAGCAATTTTCTAATAAATTTTAACAGGATTAAAACATGTTCTGGGAAGCCAGTCATCCAACCCAGCAGCAGACTATCCATCAGGAGTCTCGTAACCTTTAACTGTGCAGGTTATTTTTCTATTGAATCTCACAGTGTCCTCTAACCATTATCTTACAAAATGTCCCTGCCAGAGTGAATCTTTGAATTGGTCTGCTACAGATTGAACATGTGTTCATAATTGTCAGAAAAGCTTTTTTTTTTTTTTAATTGGTTTTTAAAGAGACTTACCAGCTGTTTAAGGAATTTTCATTTAGGTCTTGGCTGAGCACAGTGGCTCATGCCTGTAATCCCAGTGCTTGGAAGGCTGAGATGGGAGGATCTCTTGAGCCCAGGAGTTTTAAAAAGGGAGCTGGAACTTAAAGTGGCAGTGTTTGTCTGAGATGACGGTGCTCCTGCTCTGTCAGAGACTAGCCTGGGCAACATAGCGAGACCCCGTCTCTGCAAAAAAATACAAAAATTAGCTGGGTGTTGTGGCATGTGCCTGTAGTCCCAGCAACTAAGGAGGCTGAGCAGTAGGATCACTTCAGCCTGGAAGGTCGACCAGAAGGTTGATTGGGGTGACAGTGAGCCCTGATTGTACCAGTGTGCTCCAGCCTGAGTGACAGAGACAGACCCTGTCTCAAAAAAAAAAAAAAAAAAAAAAAATTAGGTCTTTAGCCTAAGAATAATGGGAACATTGAAGAATTCCCTGATTCTCTGATATGCTTTTTTTTAATTAAAAGAAAAAATTGTATCAAAAAAATCCACACACTTTTTTCTTTTTGGATACAGGCTCATAATGAAAAACAGGAGACCCTTGCCCCACTCCTCCAATCCCAGCATGCTCCTCAGGCAATCACATTCTTCTGGTGGTGACCTTCATATCCCTAAGTAAAACGCTTATATTGCTATTTCTTGATTTATGAACGCCAGATATAAACAAAGTTGATTTTTCTTTCTTTTTTGCTGTGATAGATGAGAGTTTGTCTCAATTCTCCCTCTTTTCTTTTTTTCCTTCCTTTTTTTTTTCTTTTTTTTTTTTATTTTGAGAGAGAAAGAGAGGGTCTTGCTCTGTTACCCAGGCTGGAATGCAGTGGCACAGTCATGGCTCATTGTGGCCTCAACCTCCTGGGCTCAGGTGATCCTCCCACCTCAGCCTCCCAAGTAGCTGGGACTTAGGCGTGCATGACCACACCCAGCTAATTTTTGTGTTTTTTTGTAGAGACAGGGTTTCACCATGTTGCTTGGGCTGGCTTCGAACTCCTGAGCTCAAGTGATCAGCATGCCTCAGCCTCCCAAAGTGCTAGGATAACAGGCCTGAGCCACCACACCTGGCCTCCCTCTTTCTTTTCTGATTCCGCCTAGCATATTGATTTCCTTTGTTTTAGTTTTTCTTTTAGTTATCTTTGTAATTTACAGTTAAACCTTTATTTCTTCTTTATGAACTCTAGGCAGTATCTCTTATCCCCCTACTTTTAGAAGATAAGATGGAGAGTGTAGTATCCTTTCTCATACTTCCGTGTGGAGAAAGCCAAGTATACGTTTAGGGGAATACCCAGAGGAAGAGAGATGACTCACCCCACCAGCCTTAGAGCATGTTAGCAACTGGGACATCAGATGTGGTACACAGCCATTGTGAGACAAGGTGGTAGACCGTGAGTTTACATAAGGGCCTGCAGGCCCCCTTCCTGTTCACACATTTGCATTCAGATGCTGGCTGTCCAGGCCCAAGACTTAGTTATTTTCTGAAGAAACTGAATGACCCTGGAAAAAAGACCTCTCATACTGATGTTGGGGTCATCTAGGAAAAAGACTTGCCTCCCTGGTGAATCACCCACAAGTGATGTCTTCCAGCAAGCAAGACTCAACCCTGTCCACAGAATTCCTGATTAGTGCTGAACTGTTAAAAAAAAAAAAAAAAAAAAAGAGCAGACAAAATAAAAACCCAAACAAACAAAATTCCAAACTTTGGAGAGGTATGTGTATGGAGGGGAGGCAAATGGGTTAAAAAAATAGTGCTAATGATTGAAGCCAGGGGTTCAGCACATAGGAAGCTCATTGTTCTATTCTTTTTTCTTTTGTGTGTGTTGAAAATTTTCCCTAATAAAAAGTTTTAAAATTAAACAAAAAGAGCAGACTACCAAGGATCATTAGAAAAGTGAGGAAAGCTTCTAATATGAAGATTAAAAATGAGAAAAAGTTAAAAAACAGCTAACTGGCCTCCCACTGCCCAAGACGCTGAAAGGAAAGAAGGCCAAGGGGAAGAAGGTGGCCCCGGCCCCTGCTGTTGTGAAGAAGCAGGAGGCCAAGAAAGTGGTGAATTCCCTGTTTGAGAAAAGGCGTAAGAATTTTGGTATTGGACAGGACATCCAGCCCAAAAGAGAACTCACCTACTTTGTGAAATGGCCCGCTATGTCAGGTTGCAGCAGCAGAGAGCCATCCTCTATAAGCAGCTGAAAGTGCCTCCTGCTATTAACCAGTTCACCCAGGCCCTGAACTGCCAAACAGTTACTCAACTGCTTAAGCTGGCCCACAAATACAGACCAGAGACAAAGCAAGAGAAGAAGCAGAGGCTGTTGGCCCAGGCTGAGAAGAAAGCTGCTGGCAAAGGGGGCGTCCCCACTAAGAGACCACCTGCCCTTCGAGCAGGAGTTAACACCATCACCACCTTGGTGGAGAACAAGAAAGCTCAGCTGGTGGTGATTGCACACGATGTGGATTCCATCGAGCTGGTTGTCTTCTTGCCTGCCCTGTGTTGTAAAATGGGAGTCCCTTACTGCATTATCAAGGGGAAGGCAAGACTGGGCCGTCTAGTCCACAGGAAGACCTGCACCACTGTCGCCTTCACACAGGTGAACTTGGAAGACAAAGGCGCTTTGGCTAAGCTGGTGGAAGGTATCAGGACCAATGACAATGACAGATACGATGAGATCTGCTGTCACTGGGGAGGCAATATCTTGGGTCCCAAGTCTGTGGCTTGCATTGCCAAGCTCGAAAAGGCAAAGGCTAAAGAACTTGCCACTAAACTGGGTTAAATGTATACTGTTGAGTTTTCTGTACATAAAAATAATGAAAATAATACAAATTTTCCTTAAAAAAAAAAACAGCTAGCTGAAGAAATAGAGTAAAACTTCACATAAGCACCAACTGCTCTGTGAGATATGTGAAGATATTGCATTCATATTATAAAACAGGACAGGATGCCTCAAAAAGGAATTATCAGGGAAAGAGAAAATTAAAACTATGATTATCGAAAGAGTTAAGAAATATTTCAGAAAGGACAAGTAGATAAAGAACAGTAAATATGAGAGAAAAGATAAAAGATGTGGTGGAGCCATCCATCTAAAATCTTGCTAATAGGAGTTCCAAAAAGAGAACAGAAAATAAAGAGGATGACATGATCAAGAAATAATACAGGCGGAGGTCTGGGTGCAGTGGCTCACACCTGTAATCCCAACACTTTGGGAGGCTGAGGTGGGCAGATCATGAGGTCAGCAGTTCGAGACCAGCCTGGCCAACGTGGTGAAACCTTGTCCCTACTAAAAATACAAAAATTAGCTGGGCATGGTGGTGGGCACCTGTAAAGCCCAGCTACTAGGGAGGCTGAGGCAGGAGAATCATTTGAACCTGGTAGGCTCCACCAAGGCGGAGCTGAGATCGCGCTATTGCACTCCAGCCTGGGCAACAGGGCAAGACTCCATCTCAAAAAAAAAAAGTACGACCGGGCGTGGTGGCTCATGCCTGTAATCCCAGCACTTTGGGAGGCCGAGGTGGGTGGATCACAAGGTCAGGAGTTCGAGACCAGCCTGGCCAAGATGGTGAAACCCCGTCTCTACTAAAAATAAAAAAAAAATTAGCCGGGCATGGTGGCAGGCACCTGTAGTCCCAGCTACTCGGGAGGCTGAGGCAGGAGAATTCCTTGAACCTGGGAGGTGGAGGTTGCAGTGAGCCGAGATTGTGCCACTGCACTCTAGCCTGGGCGACACAGCGAGGCTCCATCTCAAAAAAAAAAGAAAAAGAAAAAGAAGTAATACAGGCTGGGTGCAGTAGTTCATGCCTATAATGCTAGTAGGGCCAAGAAGTTCAAGACCAGCCTGAGCAACATAGTGGGATGCCACCTCTACAAAAATTTTTTTTAGATTATGCAGGCATGATGGCACACTCCTGTAGTCTTAGCTACTCGGGAGGCTGAGGCAGGAGGATTGCTTGAGCCCTGGAGGTCAAGACTGCAGTGAGCTGTGATTGCACCACTGCATTCCAGCATGAGTGACAGAGTGAGAACCTGTCTCGGAAAGAAAAAAGAAACAATACAGGAAAGACTTCAGACTGAAGGACGTTGGTATCTGGATTAAAAGGTGTCTGACATAGTTAATGCAAAATGCCCACACCATCATGAAATTTCAGATTACCAAGGATAAAAGAGGATTCTAAAGCTTCCAGAAATGTAAAAAAATAATATACAAATGTTGAGCAATTCGAAAAGCACCAGGCTATCCAATAGCATTCCTGGATGCGAAAATGGAGCAGTACTTTCAGAATTCTGAGGGAAATTGTTTTTGTTTCTTTCTTTTTCTTTCTTTCTTTTTTTTTTTTTTTTGAGATGGAATCTTCCTCTGTCACTCAGGCTGGAGTGGAGTGGCATGATCTCGCTCACTGCAACCTCCACCTCCCAGGCTGAAGCGATTCTCCTGCTTCAGCTTCCCTAGTAGCTGGGACTACAGGCCATCATGCCCAGCTAATTTTTGTATTTTTAGCAGAGACGGGGTTTCACCATGTTGGCCAGCCTCGTCTCAAACTCCTGACCTCAAGTGATCCACCCCCTTGGCCTCCCAAAGTGCTGGACTTGTAGGCGTGAGCCACTGTGCCTGGCCTTGGGTCTTCCTTTTTAATAGTTCAGTGTCCCCTGCCTCCTGCCAGAAATTGTTTTTCAACCTAGAAGTACATATTCAACCAAAGTGTCAATCAACTGTGAAGACAACATAAAGATATATTTAGACGTATAGTTATGTAATCAAAAGCTGATACCTGCCTTGGAGGAAATAGAACAATTAAAAAACAGTCCCTGCCTGCGGCATGAAATAAAAAGTTGAGGAGGAAGGAACCTGCTCTACATTAAAAGAACAACTTCTGAATAATATTCAGAGTCTGAATAAAACAAACCAATTAAAAAAATCTTTTTGGAGATAATTTGAATATGAAAGTATTAGGAATATTAGATGAAACCAAGGGGCTTAGTCTTAGTTTACTTTGTTTGTTTGTTTGTTTGTTTGTTTGTTTGTTTTTTGAGACAGAGTCTGTCTGTCACCCAGCCTGGAGTGCAGTGGCTAGATCTCGGCTCACTGCAGCCTCAGACTCCTGGGCTCAAGTGAACCTCCCACCTCAGCCTCCCAAGTAGCTGGGACTACAGGCACGTGCCACCATGCCTGGCTAATTTTGGTATCTTTTGTAGAGACGGGGGTGGGAGGTTTCTCCATGTTGTCCAGGCTGGTCTTGAACTCTGGGCTCATTGGATCCTCCTGCCTCAGTCTCCCAAAGTGTTGGGATTACAGATGTGAGGTCCCCACATCTGAACTCAGTCTAATTTTTAAGTATGGTGGTGAAATACATAAGAAAATGTCCGTATTTTTAAAGATGCTTAGTGAAGTATTCAGAATATTCAGAAATGGAATTGCGTGATGTCTGGGATTCACCTTAAAATAGTTGAGCAAAAAAGAAAAAATAGGAGGCTAGGTTAAACAGGTGTGGCAATAGTTGAATCTGAATCATGGGTACATGGAGGCTCATTGTACTATTCTCTTTTTTGCATATGTTTGAAATTTTTCATCATTGAAAAACTTTTTAAGTGTCACTCAGCCACTAATTTAGCAACTTTCCTTAAACGCTAACTTGGGAAGCTAAACATAGATATCTGGCTTACTGCCTATGGTACTTTCACAGAATGGAACACTGTGAAATATATACGGCAGCTGGGCATGGTAGCTCATGCCTGTAACCCCAGCACTTTGTGTTTTTTTTTTTTTTTTGAGATGGAGTCTCACTCTGTCACCCAGGCTGGAGTGCAGTGGTGTGATCTCGGCTGACTGCAACCTATACCTCCCAGGTTCAAGTGATTCTCCCGCCTCAGCCTCCTGAGTAGCTGGGATTACAGGCGCCCGCCACCACACTGGCTAATTTTTGTATTTTTAGTAGAGACAGAGTTTCACCGTGTTGGCCAGGCTGGTCTTGATCTCCTGACCTCAGGTGATCCACCGGGCTTGACCTCCCAAAGTGCTGGGATTACAGGAGTAACCCACCATGCCTGGCCAATCCAAGCACTTTGGGAGGCTTGAGGCAGGAGGTTCGCTTGAGTCTGGAATTTTCAGACCAGCCTGGGCAACATGCAACATAGTGAGACCCTATCTCTACCAAAAAAAAAAAAAAAAAATTAATATAATTTTTTAAAAATTAAAAAAGTACGAGGCAGATCTACCTAGAATGAAGTAGATTAATTTCCATGTTTAGTACAGAAAGCTAAGCTCAGAACACTGTGTGTATTCACTACCTGCTGTGTAATAAAAGGGGCTAGGGGACAGAATTTTTCTGCAATTGTCTTTCTTCTGTGTTAACAACTTTTCCTCTCTCAGTTCATTGTCCACCACAGCATACAGATACGTTAGAGTATATCCCATCTTGAAAAAACAAAACCAACTCTCCTGATTCGTGCCCACCTCAAGGCACTCTATTTTTTTGGCTCCCTATTATAGTGAAACTCTTGACGGCATTTATTTTCATTGTCTTTGCCTCCTCTCCTTCCATTTTCTCTTGAACCCATTGCTCTTGATGTATCCTCATCATGCCACTAAACAGTTCTTCCGAAGTTCACCAGTGGCTCCCACATTGCTGAATTCAGTGGTCCACTATTATTTGACATGGTTGATCACTTTGGCTGTGGACACCCCATGATACTTCTACTTGCTGATTGTTCCTGCTGAGTCTTATCTGTAGGACCTCTTCTCTCTGCTGTGTCTGCTTCTGTCAACTGTCTTAACTTCTTAGTTGATCTCCTCTTGTTTTGTGGCCTCAAACACCTGTATATGTTGATGATGCTCAAATTTTCTTCTCAGCCAAAACCTGTTACCAAAACTCTAGGTGCATATTGATGTGGCTGTTTGCTTGTATGTGCACAGAATATTAGACTTCTCCAGTTGGAAATCTGATGGTCACCTCAAGCTAAATATGCCCCCAGCTAAACTCCTGAGGTTAGCTCAGATTTGCTCCTTCCAAAATCTTTACCATTTCAGATAATGGCATCTGTGTCTTTCCAGTGCTGGCCAGAGACCTTTGGTGTCACTCTGGACTCTGCCTTCTCCCCCTACCCCTGCCAAATTCCATATCTAGTCAGCAAATACTGTCTGCTCTATCTTCAAAATGTATCCCATCCCATTACTTCTATAGAGGTGCTGAATGATTGGGTCCCCACTGCACCTACACCCTCTGTACTGCCATCCACTGCACCTACAACCTGTTGCACCTATACCTTCTGCACCTACATCCACTGAACTTACACCTTCTGCACTTACCACTTGCTGCATTTACACCCTCTGCACCTACATCCACTGCACCTACACCCTCTGCACCTACATTCACTGCACCTACACCTTCTGCACTTACCACTTGCTGCACTTACATCCTCTGCACCTACATCCACTGCATCTACACCCTCTGCACCTACATTCACTGCACCTACACCCTCTGCACCTACACCTTCTGCATCTACATCCACTGTACCTACACCCTCTGCACCTACATCCACAGCACCTACACCCTCTGCACCTACATCCATACACCTACACCATCTACACCTACACCATCTGCACCTATATCCACTGCACCTACACCTTCTGCACCTGCATCCTCTGCACCTACACCATCTGCACCTACATCCACTGCACCTATACCCTCTGCACCTACACAATCTGCACCTAGATCCACTGCACCTACACCCTCTGCACCTACACCATCTGCACCTACATCCACTGCACCTCCACCTTCTGCACCTACACCATCTGCACCTACATCCACTGCACCTCCACCTTCTGCACCTACATCCACTGCACCTACACCCTCTGCACCTACACCATCTGCACCTACACCATCTGCACCTACATCCACTGCATCTATACCCTCTGCACCTACACCATCTGCACCTAGATCCACTGCACCTACACCCTCTGTAGTTACCACTTGCTGCACCTACACCCTCTGCACCTACATCCACTGTACTCACACCCTTTGCACCTACATCCAATGCACCTACTTCCTCTGCACCTACACCATCTGCACCTACATCCACTGTACTTACACCCTTTGCACCTACGTCCAATGCACCTACATCCACTGCACCTACACCCTCTGCACCTATATCTACTGCACCTACACCTTGTGTGCCTACATCCTCTGCACCTACACCATCTGCATCTACATCCACTGCACCTACACCCTCTGCACCTACATCCTCTGCACCCACATCCACTCCACCTACACCTTCTGTACTTACCACTTGCTGCGCCTATACCCTCTGCACCCACATCCACTGCACCTACACCCTCTGCACCCACATCCACTGCACCTACATCCACTGCACCTACACCCTCTGTACCTACATCCACTGCATCTACACGCTCTGCACCTACCACTGTCTGCACCTACCACTGTCTGCACCTACATCCACTGAACCTACATCCACTGCACCTACACCCTGTGCACCTACCACCTGCTGCACCTACACCCTCTGCACCTACCATACCTTCTTGTTCATGCCACTTAGCCATGCTTCCTCCATGTTACTCACACACACCAAGTATGTTCCCCCTCTGTCCCTTGTGCTGGAATATTGGACTGTAGATAACCACATGGCTGCTTCTCTCACTTTTTAAATGTCTCTGCTCAAATATCACCTTATCAGGCCAGGCACAGTGGCTCACACCTGTAATCCCAGCACTTTGGGAGGCCAAGGTGGGAGGATAGCTTAAGGCCAAGGATTTGAGACCAGCCTGGGCAACAGAGTGAGACCACATCACTATGTGTGTGTGTGTGTGTGTATATATATATATATTTTTTTTTTAATTTAATGGTGCATGTCCGTAGTCCCAGCTATTTGGAGGGCTAAGGTGGGAGGATTGCTTGAGCCCAGGAGTTTAAGGCTGCAGAGAAGTACAATCACACCACTGCACTGCAGCCTGGGCAGCGGAGTGAGACAGACCCTGTCTCAAAAAAAGAAAAAAAGGGCCAGGTACAGTGGCTCATGCCTGTAATCCCAGCACTTTGGGAGGCTGAAGCAGGAGGATCACTTGAAGCCAGGAGTTCAAGATGAGCCTGGGCAACAAAGTGAGGCCCTGTCTCTACTAAAAAAAAAAAAAAAAAATTAATATTAGCCAGTTGCTGAGGTAGAAGGATCACTTCAGTCCAGGAGTCCAAGGCTGTAGTGAGCTAGGATTGCACCACTGCATTCCAGCCTGGGTGACAGAGTAAGACCCTGTCTCTTAAAAAAAAAAAAAATCACCTTACCAGAAAGACTTTTCTATATGAAATATTTTATATAAAACAAAAGACCATTCTATATGAAATATTTTGTATAAAATAAAATCCTGTTCCTCCCTATCCTCTTTGCCCTGCTTTAGTTTTCTTCTTACTGCTCATTTATTTGCTTATTTATTGACCGTCTCCCCTGCTTAGAATGTCAGCTCCAGCAGGGAAGGGATTTTTGTTTCTCTCTCTTTTTTTTTTTCAGACGGGATTTCGCTATGTTGCCTCGGCTAGCCTCGAACTCCTGGACTCAAGTAGTCCGGCCTGCCTTGTCTTCCCAAAGTGCTGTGGTTGTAGATATGAGCCACTGCGCCCTCCGGTGCTAGAATAGTACCCGGCACACAGTAGAAGCTTATTAAATATTTGCTAAATGAATGAATTAATTAATTAATTAAACATCACAAGAGACTGGAAGTATTGGTTTCCCCGGGGAAGGCAACTGGTTGGGGCAAGACTTACTTTCCACCATTGATCTTTTCATATGTTTTTAAAGTTTAACAATGGGCTTTTTAGAAAAATTAACTTTTAAAAAAGGAATTTTTTTATAAAAAGGAGAACTTGTTTAATAGCATTGAATTCTGCTGGAGAAGTCAAGGTCAGACTGAAAGAGGCCTTTTGAATGTATAATATGGAGGCCGTTGCAGCGCTAACAAGAGCTGTTTTGAGGAATAATAGGAGTGGCAGCCAGATGGAGTTGGTTGAGGGTAAGGTAGGGAGGATAAGATGGAAAAGAATAGATCTTTCTCTCCAGGGGTTTGATGTGAAAACAGGAGAGAAATCGGAGGGGGATGATGGAATGGACTGTGGGGACATGGAAATATTTTAATTTCATTTTTTAAAATTTAAGTTATTGAATAGATTTTAAAAAGTACCTGTTTCTAAATTCACAAATGATAGGGCTTAGCCATAGACCTCCTATGATTTGCTGGGCCAAACCAGGCAAAAAACTTTATGAAATAATGCTTTAGATGAAATGATTCATAGAGTTCTAGCCCTGAAATTCTCTACTGAGTTATGATTAATCTTGCTTTCTAAATAATGTAGATACTTGTCACATAGATGTGGCCAATAATAATTACTGGAAGGAATTAGATTTGCTGGTAATTATGATTTCACTCCAATACTTAGGAGTATTGATAAGTGCTCACTTCAGCAGCACAGACATCAAAATTGGAATGATACAGAAAAAATTAGCATGGCCTGTAAGAAAAGAAAAAAGAAGACCAGTCTGAGCAATAAAGTGAGACCTCATCTCTCCAAAAAATAAAAAAAAATTAGCCAGGTGTGGTGGTGCATGACTGTAGTCCCAGCTACTTAGGGGGCTCAGGCAGGGGGATTGCTTGAGCCCAGAAGGTCAAGGCTGTAGTGAGCTATGATTGTGCCACTGCACTCCAGCCTGGGTGACAGAGTGAGACCTTGCCTCCCCGCCCACAAAAAAAGAAAGAAAACTAAGTATTGATAACTTTCTCTTCAAGCTTAGTAATAGCTATGTTGTTTTAATTAAAAATATTTTTAACATGATATTCACATAGTTATACAACTCAGAAGGTACAGAAGTCTCTCACCTACCCTGCTTCCTAGCCCAGTTTCCCTCCTCAGAGGCAAGTGAGGTTAGCATTTTCTTCTACATCCTTCCACGGACGGAGCACATACAAACAAGTGCATGTGTTTGTGTTGTTTTTCCTTTTCTGTTTTGTACACAAATGGTGATTTATTATACACATTCTTCTGTACCTTGCTCTATTATTGAAGTAAAATTCTACTTTAAAGCAAGATTGATTGATTGATTGATTGATTTTGAGATGGAATCTTTTTCTGTCGCCCAGGCTGGAGTACAGTGGCACGATCTCGGCTCACTGCAACCTCTGTCTCCCAGGTTCAATAAATCCTCCTGCCTCAGCCTCCCGAGTGGCTGAGATTACAGGCGCAAGCCACCACCACCATGCCCAGCTAATTTTTTTTTTTTTTTTTTTTTTGAGACAGAGTCTTGCTCTGTTGCCCAGGCTGGAGTGCAATGGTGCGATCTCGGCTCACCGCAACCTCCGCCTCCCATGTTCAAGCGATTCTCCTGCCTCAGCCTCCTGAGTAGCTGGGATTACAGGCACCACCACCACACCCAGCTAATTTTTGTATTTTTAGTAGAGACGGGGTTTCACCATGTTGGTCAGGCTGGTCTCGAACTCCTGACCTCAAGTGATCCACCCGCCTCGGCCTCCCAAACTGCTGAGATTATAGGCGTGAGCCACTGCATCTGGCCCTCATTCGATATTTGAATCCCCTCAATAACATCCCTCATGAAATATTTTTTTACTTATTTTTTACATGGAGTCTCTCATTGCTGCCCAGGCTGGAGTGCAATGGTGTGATCTCAGCTCACTGCAACCTCCGCCTCCTGGGTTCAAGCAATTCTCCTGCCTCAGCCTCCCTAGTAGCTGAGATTACAGGTGCCCGCCACCACCCCTGGCTAAATTTTTGTATTTTTAGTAGGGACGGGGTTTCACTATGTTGCCCAGGATGGTCTCAAACTCCTGACCTTGTGATCTGTCCACCTCGGTCTCCCAAAGTGCTGGGATTACAGGCATGAGCCACCGCACCTGGCCGAAAGATTTTTTTCCCGGTATTTTTATTTTGTGGCATGCTTGTGATCCTAATCCACTGTATACAAATGGAAGCTTCTCATCCAGCCTTACTGATGTAAGTGCTGGGCACTTCATGCAGTAGCCTCAAGTTTAGATAGCTATGTCTTCACATATTCATTCATCTCCTACATTACAAAGGGCCTTCTACATGCCAGGTAGTATCCTAGGAGCTGGTGATACAGTATAGAAAAGACAGTGAGATCTCTGTCCTCATGGAGCTTACATTCTTGTGGAGGAGACAGAAGCACAGTTTCAAGCATTGGTAAATATTATAAAGGAAGATGAAGTAAAGCAATAGAGAAATGATTTAGTGTGTGTTTGGTGTGGGACTATTCTAGGTAATGATCAGGGGAGCCTCTCTGAGGAGGTGGTATTTACATTGACACCTGAATAAAATAAAGGAATGAGACATGTAAAGATCTGGCAGAAGAGCATTACAGACAGGAAATGGCATATGCAGATGCCCCTGAGATAGGCATGAGGTTGGCTTGTTGAGGAAGAACAACAAGAAGTCTGTGTGTCTCAAGTGGAGTGATGAGAGTGAGTAATGGGAGATGAAGTTGGAGACGTAGCCAGGGCCATATCTTATAGGGCCTTGCAAGGTATTGGGATTTTATTCTAAGTGAGATGGGAGACTCCTGGAAATTGTTGAGCAGGAAAGTGATGGGATCGTGTTTTAAAGGTTCATTGTAGGTTTGGGGTAAAGAATAAAGCCAGAAGAGACTTAAAGAGACAAACCAAATGTATATAATGTGTAGGTTGCATCTTGTTTGGTTCCTGAATCAAACAAACCAATTGCCAACTGTAAAAAGTATTTTTTTTCTTTTTCTGAGATGGAGACTCACTCTGTCACCCAGGCTGGAGTGCAGTGGCGCAATCTTGGCTCACTGCAAGCTCCGCCTCCCCGGTTCACGCCATTCTCCTGCCTCAGCCTCCCGAGTAGCTGGGACTAGAGGGGCCCACCACCACGCCTGGCTGATTTTTTGTATTTTTAGTAGAGACGGGGTTTCACCATGTTAGCCAGGATGGTCTCAATCTCCTGACCTCATGATCCGCCCGCCTCGGCCTCCCAAAGTGCTGGGATTACAAATGTGAGCCACTGCGCCTGGCTCTTTTTTCTTTTTTTTTAAAGATGGGGGGGTCTCACTATGTTGCCCAGGTTGGCCTTGAACTCCTGGGCTCAAGTGACCCTCCCACCTCAGCCTCCCAAAGTGCTAGGATTATAGACTTGAGCCACTGCACCTGGCCTGTAAAAAGTATTTTTGAGAAAATTGGGGAAATTGAATTATGGACTCAATATTAGATGATGTCAAGAATTATTGCTAATAATAAGTGTGATTACATTGTAGTTATTAAAGAATATCTATATTTTATAGTGATATACACTGAAATATGTGGGGGTGAAATGACATAATGACTGGGAGAGATGAAGCAAATATGTCAAAATCTTGATAACTTGTATCTAGAGTGATAGTAAGCGGATATTACTAGTTCTTTTTGTGTATATTTTAGTATTAAGAAAAATTTTGTAAAGAAACATTTTTTACATGTTTCTTTTTGTGTATATTTTAGTATTAAGAAAAATTTTGTAAAGAAACATTTTTTAAAAGAATGCACCTTGTGAGAAGGGGGCAGGAATGGGATTAGTAGGAAGTTGTTGCCACAGACCAGGTGAAAGATAATTAATGTGTTGGACTGAGGGTGAAGTAATGATGGAGGTGGTAAAAAAGTGAGCAGAATCGGGATATATTCTTTTAAAAATTGGTGACAAATCCTTTTATTGATCCCAGTGGTATCATGCAGCATCCAAAACTATCTGTGATTTGTTTTTTTTTTTTGTTTTGTTTTTTTTTGAGACGGAGTTTCGCTCTTGTTGCTCAGGCTGGAGTGCAATGGTGTGATCTCAGCTCACCGCAACCTCCTCCTCCCAGGTTCAAGTGATTCCCCTGCCTCAGCCTCCCGAGTAGCTGGGACTACAGGCATACACCACCATGCCCAGCTAATTTTTGTATTTTTAGTAGAGACAGGGTTTCTCCATTTTGGTCAGGCTGGTCTCAAACTTCCGACCTCAGGTGATCTGCCTTCCTCGGCCTCCCAAAGTGTTGTGATTACAGGCGTGAGCCACCACATCCGGCCTGATTTCTTCATTATATTTTATTTATTATTATTATTTTTTGAGACAGGGTGTTGCTCTTTTGCCCACGCTGGAGTGGAATGGTGTGATCACAGTTCACTGCAGCCTAGAACCTTGCAGGCTCAAGCGATCTTCTCACGTCTGCCTCCCTCACAGCTGGGACCACAGGCGCCCGCCACCATGCCCAGCTAATTTAAAAAATTATTTTCTAGAGCCTATGATTGATTGATTGATTGATTATTTTTTTTGAGACTAGCTCTCACTTTATCACTCAGGCTGGAGTGCAGTGGTATGATCACGGCTTACTGTAGCCTCAACCTCCCGGGCTCAAGTGATCCTCTCACCTAGCCTCCCAAGTAGCTGGGACCACAGGCACACACCACCTTGCTGGGCTAATTTTGGTATGTTTTGTATAGATGGGGTTTCACCATGTTGCCCAGGTTGGTCTCAAACTCCTGAGCTCAAGCAATCTACCAGCCTCGGCCTCTCAAAGTGCTGGGATTAAAGACATGAGCCACTGTGCCTGGCCTGACTTCTTTAAATGCTAGAACTTAAAACATTAACTGATTATCCCTTTAAAAAGAAAGAATAGGCCGAGTGCGGTGGCTCATGCCTGTAATCCCAGCACTTTGGGAGGCCGAAGCGGGAGGATTACCTGAGGTCAGGAGTTGGAGACCAGCCTGGCCAACATGGTGAAACCCTGTCTCTACTAAAAATACAAAAATTAGCTGGGCGTGGTGGTACACACCTGTAATCCCAGATACTCGGGAGGTTGAGGGAGGAGAATTGCTTGAGCCCGGGAGATAGAGGTTGCAGTGAGCTGAGATCATGCCACTGCACTCCAGCCTGGCTGACAGAGTGAGACTGTCTCAAAAAAACAAACAAACAAACAAAGAATAATGGTAGCTTTTCTTATTTATAGTTTTCTTTCTTCCCCCCAGATTTCCAAGAGTAACCATATATTAGTTTTATCATTAGAAAAAAAAACCTAAACATTAAAAAAATTCTTGGAACACCATCTGTATTCCTCCATTATGTCATTTTTCATAAAACAGTCAGCTCAGCTTGATTATACCAAATAGATCTCTTGGTACCTAAGACTCAGGGAAAACTAATGGATTGAAACGACTAAGATCAGAGAGCAGAATCTAACTAGCCATGCTTACCTCTCAAAATGATACCTTGTTAACTAAGCATGGAATTAGATAACTAGTTGTTATAAAAGGCAGACTATAGAAATATATTTAGGCCAGCCTGGGCAACATAGTGAGACCCCATTTCTACAAAAAAATTTTTTTTAATTAGCTGGGTGTGGTGGTTCACACCTGTAGTCTCAGCTAGTAAGTAGCATGAGGTGGGAGGATCGCTTGAGCCCTGAAGGTCAAGGCTGCAGTGAGCCATGATCGTGCCACTGCACTCCAGCTTGGGTGATACACCAAGACCCTGTCTCAAAAAGAAAAGAAAAAGAAGAGAGGAGAAGAGATATATTTAGGAATATGATGTAACAAAATGGAATGTCGAGATTATCCTGCTTAACTAACAAACTATTATTAATATAAAATGACCTCTAACATTTGGATCATAGAATTTCTCTGACTTTTAAGGTATTTCAGTTATTTACTTTTACTCAGTGAACAATCCCCAAGCTAAGTAACTTCAGGTAACAATGATGTATAGGTTGATGGGGCTCAGCTGGGTGGTTCTTCTGCTCTGCATGGTGAAGCTGAAGTCACATCTGCAGCTTCATTCAACTGGGAGCTTAGCTTGGGCTGTGCCACTGAAGATGGCCTGTCATCCTCTAGGGCCTCTCTCCACTTGGCATCCATTATTCAGTAATGTATGCTGAAGCTCGACATCATGGAAGCTGGTTTTCAGGAAGGAGCTTTTCAAGAGGACAAGTGGATATCAAGTCTCTGCTTGCATCATGCTTTCTTTTTTTGAGACATTGTGTTGCTCTATGGCCCAGGCTGGAGTGTAGTGGTGCTACTATCTCTGCTCACTCACTGCAAACTCCCCACTCTGGGCTCAAGCATTCCTCCCACCTCAGCCTCCTGAGTAGCTGGGACTACAGGCTCATGCCACCATGCCTGGCTAATTTTTATATTTTTTTTATAGACTGAGTTTTGCCATGTTGCCCAGGCTGATCTTGAACTCTTAGGCTCAAGCAATCGCTAGCCTCAACCTCCCAAAGTGCTGGGATTACAGGCATGAGCCACTGCCCCTTGCTGCATCTTTTTTTTTTTTTTTTTGAGACAGAGTCTTGCTCTGTCACCTAGGCTGGAGTGCAGAGGTGTGATCTCCGCTCACTGCAACCTCTGCCTCCTGGGTTCAAGCGGTTCTCCTGCCTCAGTAACTGGAATTACAGGTGCATACCACCACACCTAGCTAATTTTGTATTTTTAGTAGAGATGGGGTTTAACCACGTTGGCCAGGCTGGTCTCGAACTCCTGGCCTCAAGTGATCCACCTGCTTCAGCCTCCCAAAGTGCTGGGATTACAGGCATGAGCCACCGTGCCTGGCCAGCAACTTGCTTTCTAATGTAGAAAAAAAAAAAAAAGTCATCTGACCAGGTCCAGACTTGGACGGGGACTATACAAGGGCATGAATACAAGGATGCATCATTCATTAGGGGCCACCAATGTGACAGTCTACCCACATGGAGCAACAGGCCTTCTGAAACTCTAGAACACAATTCTGGTCTTTAAGACTACAAAATAGCTGAAGCATGTAATCTTTCTGCCTGATTTGGCTACTTCTACTCTGGACACATTCCTGCTTGAGAATCTTCTATAACTCTTTTTTTCTTTTTTTTAGAGAGTGGGGTCTCACTGTGGTCTCTAACTCCTGGGCTCAAGCTGTTCTCCTGCCTCTGCCTCTACCTACTGGGATTACAGGCGTAATCCAGCTGGGAGCCACTGCACCCAGCCTATAACTCTTTTTTACCTTTTCAAGCCTCTTTTGAAAAAATATCCTCACTTCTGTTTTGTTCTGAGAGGTCTTCTGCCCCCATGTGCTCTATATAAACTGCAGTTTTAAAATTTTATTAGTGACAATTTTATTGCTATTTTTCTCTCCTTATGTTACTTCCTAAAGGTATTGTCAATGTAGTAATGGACACACTAAGAGTCTTCCCCTCTTCTCCCTAAGGGTTTGTTGTTTCCTTCCAGTTATGATCCAGATGACTAAGCTACCCTTCCTTCATTCTGTATTAATTGAGAGCCTATACTATATTGCCGTATCTGGGTAGCCCAGTAAATAAGCTTTTGTTTTCGTGGAGCTTATATTAGAGTATGGGAAGTGGGACAATACGGAAGCAAACAATAAGAACAAAATAATTTCAGCTAGTGATAAATGCTGGGGAGAAAATTAAACAGGATAATGTGAGAGGGAGTGCATGGGGTGGAGATGGGGAGCTCCTTTAGCTTGCGGGGCACATAAGGCCTTTCTAAGGAAAGACATTTGAGCTGAGACCTGAATGATAAGAAGCCATCCATCCTGACAGACAGGGTGACCAACTATCCCAGTTTGCTTGAGACTGAGGGATTGATTGCTCATGACATGGAACTTTCGGTGCTAAAACCTGCAGTTCCAGGCAAACTGCAACGGATGGGTAGCACAAGAGGGAATAGCAAGTACCAAGGCCCAGCATTAGGAGGAAGCATGGTATTTTGGAGGTGTGACAGAAGGCGAGTGTAGCTAAAAATGTAGTGAGAGAGGGTTGAGTTGAGGCAGATGATGCTGAGGAGGTCAGCAGACATTGGCCCTTGTGAGGCCCTGTCAGTAATTTGGATTTTATCATAAGTGTGTTGGAAAACCACTGCAGGGTTTTAAATGAGGGAAGACATGGTTTTACCTTTTTTTTTGGTGGGGCGGGGTGGGACAGGATCTCCCTCTGTTGCCCAGGCTGGAGTGCAGTGGTGCAATCATGGTTCACTGCAGCCTTCCCTTCCTGGGCTCTTTCAATCCTCCCGCCTCAGTCTCCCTTGTAGCAGGGACTACAGGCGTGTGCCACTGCCCTTGGATAATTTTGTGTGTGTATGTGTGTGTGTGTGTTTGAGACAGGTTGGTCTCAAACTATGTTGCCCAGGCTGGTCTCGAACTCCTGGGCTCAAGTGATCTTCCCTTCTTGGCCTCCCAAAGTGCTGGGATTACAGGTGTGAACCACTGTGCCTGGCTTTATTTACATTTTTAAATGATCACTGGCTATGCAGAGAGTAAACCATTGGGGTGCCTGTGGAAGTGGGAAGACAGGTTGGGAGGCTGGTCTAATAATCTCTCTTGAGATGATGTGGACTTGGACCAGAGTGGTTGCCAGGAAGGAAGCCTGGGCTGCTTCTCACTCCTCCCAGCTCTTCCTGTCTTCCTAAATCAGCAGCTTCTTACCCTGAAGAGCGCCTTTGCTAAAGTAGGGATTTCCAGCAGATTTACCATTTTGCAGCAAACTTCAGCCCTACTTGTATCACACAGGTGTTTTATCAGTTTTTCTTTGCAGTATTTTCAAAGTACTCAAATACAATAATATAGTGTTTTGTTTGTTTTTAAGGTATCTATTGATTTTCTCATAGGGCCAGATTGGGTAATGCTTTTGAATGCCAAGCTTAAAGTGATTGATTTTTATCTTGGATGCTTTTGAAGGAGTATATTTAGAATTGTGCAATGTAAATAGAGCTATGCTTGCTAAAAGTTAATCTAGTAGGAGAGTTGGGGTAAGACAATGAAGTAAGAGGTGGATGTGTTGAATTTTAGGTGACAGGAGGCTGTTCAAGTAGAAATGTCGGTGGGGAGGGTGAGGGGCAGTTAGAAAAGTGGAACTAGATCGTAGTAGCAAGGATGGGTCTGTAAATAGAAATGTGGGAGTTGCCATAGAGAAGCGGAGTTGGATTTGGGGGAGGGCCCTGATCTGTTTATTCAGCAAGCAATCGAGTATTCATTGAATGCCTCCTAAGTGCTGGGGATGTTATGGCAAACAAGGCAGGTGGATCCCTGTTCTCAGGGAGTTGGCATTCATTGGGACGTGTTAAGGTAGAAGGGCAAAGAATAAATGACTTCATGAGTAAAATAATTTCAGAGAGTAGTACGTGCTGTGTAGATAATGAAACAGCATGATGTGCTCTGGGTTGGGGTGCTGGGGAGGATTCTTTTTTAGATTGGCAACCAGGGCAGACCTCTTTGAGTGGGTAACGTTTAACTAAGACCTGAATGATAGGAAAGAGCCAGTCTCTGGAAGGTCTAGGGATAGAGCATTCCAGGTGGAGGTCTTGGACACCAGGGGTAGGTCTAATCTTGGGAAAGGTCCCATTTAAGCAAATGAAGATGTTGACCAGCAAAGAGAGAGACAGGAAGGAGGGCAGGGACTGTGCTGGCTTCACTCGCCAGCACAGTGAGCACTTTACACAGAGGTAAGTGTTCATGTTAAAAAGAAACAAACCAGGCTGGGCATGGTGGCTCACGCCTGTAATTCCAGCACTTTGAGAGGCTGAGGCAGGCAGATTGCTTGAGCCTAGGAGTTCAGGACCAGCCTGGGCAACATGGCAAAACCCTGTCTCTACAAAAAATATTAATACAAAAATTAGCCAGATGTGGTGGCGCATTCCTGTGGTCCCAGCTACTCGAGAGGCTGGGGTGGGAGGATCATCTGAGCCTGGGGAGATTGAGGGTTCAGTGAGCTGTGATCACACCACTACACTGTAGCCTGAGTGACAGAGCAAGACCCTGTCTCAAAAAAAAGAAACAAAAAGAAACAAACCAGGCTTGTGTTCTGCCACCAACACTAAGGAATCAGAATCCCAAGAAGGATGGCAGTGATGGCGCGACCTGCAAGGAAGTCAAGGAAAAGGTCAGTGGTTTTGGTTTTAGGTCACTGGTGGACCATTGAGATTGCCGACTCATTAGAGTGTGCTGAATTCAGAGACTACCAACTGCAAAGGGTTAAAAAGCAGGGGATGGGGAAATAGAAACAGCATTTTTGGACTCTGTAACAAATCTTTTTCTTTATCATTTGTGAATATGTCATAAAAGACTCCCCCACTACGTACACCCACCTTTGGGAATCTTTCCTGGCTGTGCTCCTGAGTTTACTCACTTTCTCTTGCCCCTTCTGTGTTACCAACCTTTCCCTGTGGACTCCTCTTTTGCTTTCCCTTTGCTTCTGAAGATTTGCCACTTTGCACTCCCATTCCCTCTTATCTCCACACCCCACAGCTGCAGGCCAGTCCTGCCTGTCTTTGCTGGTGGGGACCCAGTTCTTGGATCTAGAAAGGGGCCATGAGAGATTTGACAAAAGGGGTGATATTTTAATGGGCCACCAAGGTTTTGTTTAAGACCTGTGAATATTTGAAAACAAAGAGAAGGAACTCAATAGAGAGGGAGACACTAATGATGAAGAGGCAGAGGGGAGCACAGGACTTGAGGCAGAAGTGGAAGGGTTCATCTTCAATAATATGAGGTGAAATCCTTCTTCCTCTGAATTAAGACAAAGGAAATAGTAAATGAGGCTGGGTCCCAAGATTCTTAAGTTGGAAGAGACGTGAGTAGGAGAAGCTTATAGTAAGTGGTCTGGATCTTTTTAGCAATACAGAAAGCCAGGTGGAAAAAGAAAAAAAAAAAAAAAAAGAAGAAAGAAGAAAACCAGGTGGTCTGCTGAAAGTCAAGCTCAAAATTGGTGAAGGAATTTTGGAGTCACCACTCCAAAGATTTTTCTGGGGAATAACCAAGTGATGAATGAAAGAACTGCAAAGCACCAGCAAAGATCCAGTTGAAGTTGATGTGTATTTTTAGCAAAGTCTGGCTTTGTCCAGGCTTGCTCTGCCAGGGCCTGAGCAGCTGGTGCTAATGTTAACTGCTGTTAATAAAGAGTTTGGATTTTAGCCACTGAAGATATTTCGAGAAGACATTATCCTCATAGTTGTCCTTAACAGTAAATCAAAGACTGATTGATTTGTTTTCCTCTCATTTGACTTCAACCTGTCAGAGGCATGTAATTAGTAAGCGCTGCCTGTGGAATCCAGTGTAAGGAATTTTAATCAACAACTTTTCATAGACCTATTAAACATTATAGCTATTATGAAAAGTGAAAGATCTCAAACTTAGCATAGTCTCTTTTGTTTGTAGTAGTTTCTATAGCACATTTAAGTTTTAAGGTATACATCTACTCAGGAGCAGTTTTTGAAATATTTTTTATTTACTCACAATAATATCCTCAGTAGAAATTTGCTAACTAAATGGAAACAGATATCATTTTAGGACCTCCTTTTTTTCTATGTTAGGTTGAAAATGGTGTATTTGTAGCCAACCCACTTCAGGAACGTACAATTCTAATGAGAAAAGAGGGCGAATCTGCCAAAAGCATTAATGAGATGCTTCTAAGTAGACTTTCTCGGTATAGAGCCTCCCCGTCAGCAACGCTTGCTGCCCTGACTGGTTCCACCATCTCCAACACACTGAAAGAGGATCAAGCAGGTATGTTACTCTGTGCTTCCCAGATCTGTTTCCTTGTATAGCTCTGTTCAGCTACGTCTTATTGAGCACTTCGTCCGTGCTGTACAAAGCCCTTTCCTTTGCATAGTTGACTTTATTTGGTCTTCCAGTCATTGTCCAGCTTTTTATTCCAAGCCAATACATGTTGTAGGCTATGGACACAAATTCATATGAACCTGTAAGAATGCAAAATAGCCCCATGTTAAACTGTAAACACCTTATCATCATCACCATTCATATAAATTAGTTGATTTCATATTTTGCGTATGCTTTGTGAATGAGAAAACCTGATACTTAGCATCATCTTCCCTAAATACAGTCTTGACCAAGCAAATAACAGAAAAGCCTTCTACAGTAGATATTTTGTTTTTTAGAATTTATCATTTAGTTTTTTAATTTAATGTTTTAAAATAGATAATACACGTACAGAATTTGAAAGTCAAAACAATGTAAAAAGGTATATGCAGAGAAGTCTTATTCTTACCATGTTGGTAAATTTTATATTGTGACCCCACCCTACCCCACCACAGGTAACTATATTTATTAGTTTTCATTTATCCTTCCAGTGTTTGTTTATGCAAATATAATTAAAGATAAATTTATATGTTCATAATTTCTGCCTTTTCTTAATAGAAGGTAGTATACTATATACATTGTTCTGCACTTTTTTTTTCGTTGTTGTTGTTTTTTGTTTTTGTTTTTGTTTTTTGAGATGGAGTCTTGCTCTGTCTTCCAGGCTGGAGTGCAGTGGCGCGATCTCAGCTCACTGCAAGCTCCGCCTCCCAGGTTCACGCCATTCTCCTGCCTCAGCCTCCCGAGTAGCTGGGACTACAGGCGCCCGCTACCACGCCTGGCTAATTTTTTGTATTTTTAGTAGAGACGGGGTTTCACCGTGTTAGCCAGGATGGTCTCGATCTCCTGACCTCGTGATCCGCCCACCTTGGCCTCCCAAAGTGCTGGGATTACAGGCGTGAGCCACCGCGCCTGGCTGTTCTGCACTTTTAAAGTAGGAGTTCTTAACCAGGATACACCTTTAAGGGAGTATGTTATTAAACATACTCCCTCAAAGTTTTAGATATCATTTTATATGTATCTGTCATAACTTTCATTAGATTTTCAGAGTCATCTATGACCCCCAAAAACATTAAGAACCATTATTCCATAGAGTTTACAGATTACATACCAAATATTTGGATTTATAGCAAACTATGAACTGCAGTAAAAGATAAAGCTAGAAAAAGATGCCATATGTAGAAAACTGCATCTGAATTAATATGCATTTAATGAATTCAGTGTAATCTTATGCTTTATTTTTATAGTTGGAAATGCTAGGAAGAGAAAATATTTATAGTTAATTTATTATGAGACTACCAAATTAAATACTTATTAGTCCATATTAGAATTTAAGGACAGTATTTTATTTTCACAGGCTTCTTTTGTATCAAAGGTAAGTGGCAAAATTGTTAATAGTTTTTATGATTTGGGTAAGTGGATAATTCCAACTGTAGAAGATACTTTCTAGAGGACAGTTTTTTTTGTTTTTGTTTTTGTTGTTACCTAAATAAACATTTTCATGACAAGCTGAAGGCCTGATCTGGGTTTGTCCCTTGGGAGAAAATGAAATCTTACCCTAAACAATGGAAATACTAAAAGAATGCTTGTTGAAAATATGTATAATATCAAAGAAAGACCTCAGAAGGCAAGGACATATTTAGAATTTGGTAGAAATGTGCACGCTTTGGCAGCACATATACTAGAATTTGGTAGAAACGGGTATCTGTATTCTAAACATGTGGTCTCATTGTACTTTTTTTTTTTAAAAAAAACATGAGGTCTTGTTATGTTGTCCAGGCTGGTCTCAAACTCCTGGGCTTAAGCAATCATCGTACTTTTATGTGGATTCTTTAACGTGATGTTGCTACATTAAATTAAAAATTCACCAGTTATAAACTAAGAAACTTTTCAAAAGTAAGCGAACATTCAAGGTGTCTGTAAGGTTTTGGCCAGGGGCAGTGGCTTATGCCTATAATCCCAGCATTTTGGGAGGCTGAGGTGGGTGGATCACCTGAGGTCAGGAGTTCAAGACCAGCCTGGCCAACATGGTGAAACCCCATCTCTACTGAAAATACAAAAATTAGCCGGGTGTGATGGTGGGCTCCTGTAGTCTCAGCTACTCGGGAGGGGCTGAGGCAGGAGAATTGCTGGAACACAGGAAGTGGAAGTTGCAGTGAGCCGAGATGGCTCCATTGTACTGCAGCCCAGGCAGACAACAGTGAGACTCAGTCTCAAAAAAAAAAAAAAAAAAAAGTTTTTATTCCATTAAAAACTAATACCTATTGCCATCTTAATAAGCATATGTCTATTGAAAACATCTTGGTGAAAATGGTATACTCACAAAGTTGCTAATTTTCCAATTATTGCTGTCTTTAGGTTTCTTACCAGTGGAAATTTATCTTCTTGAATTTATGTCCTTAATGAAGAATATACTTGGTGGGGGCTTGCAGCTTAAAAAAAAAAAAGCTTTTTAGAAGCACAAGCATTCAAAACAAATATCAGATAGATTAGGTTTCACTTTACTCACTCTTCTAATCTAAACCATCTAAAAATGATTTTCATCTATCCAGGCTATAGATAATAAGTTATATTTTATAGCCTGACAGCTTTCTAAGTAAAGCACTCCAGTTGATTCTCTGTTGACATAATCAATCCTCGCTAGGCTTGTATATAGAAAATCCGTAAATTCACTCCACTTTCTAGATATGCCAGTAAGGGAGATTAAAGTACATTTTACACCTCTTGATTAGAAACAATAATTATTTTCCTAATGACAGTTTATGTCATTGACCCTTAAAAAAAAGAAAAATGTATATAAGGGGTTATAATAAATTACACAGCTATAAAATTGTTTTGTGATAGATATTGTGAAAGCTTTCATTAGGTTGAAATTTTGGCCGATTTCATGTTGAAAGCTGTTTATTATGAGTTTAATATCACAAGCCTGTCAAGAATTTGTTCTATATAAAATGGGAAAAAAAAACCAAGATCTTGATTGGAATATAGGTTGTTCATCCCAAATCTAAAAATCTAAAATGCTCCCAAATCTGAAACTTTTTGAGTGCCTACATGATGCTCAAAGGAAATGTTCTCACTAATCTCAGATGTAATGAGTAAAAATAAATGAAAACAAAGGAAATGTTCACTGGAATATTTTGGATTTTGGATTTTTCAATTAGGAATGCTCAACTCTTAAGTATAATCCAAATATTTCAAATTCTGAAAAAATCTGAAATCCAAAACACTTCTGGTCCCAGGCATTTCAGATAAATGTACTCAACCTATATCAGTTTTCTAGGGGAAACACAAACAAATACTAGGATTCTTCTCTTATTTTGAGATTTAGTCCATGTGAGGATTTATTTTTTTGGAATAATTTGTAGAGGCATGATGGCATATTGAGGATTGGGAGCACTGTCAAGAAATGTTCAGACCATATAAATAGGAGGCTCAGGGTCAGGCTGTGGAGCCAGAAGATAATTATTTTTTTCCTTAGCTATTACTTCTTATTCTGTTTTCCTAATCTGGAAATCTGTTTTCCAAATCTTTGTTTGAGTTTGGGTCTCCCTCATTATATCCTAATCTGTGTTGGTAATCAAATTAACTTTTGTGTCAAATATTTTGATTTAGCATTTTCATTCCTTTCTCCAGCAAATACTAGCTGTGGGCTGCCTCTAAAAATGCTGCGGAAGACACCCATATATACCTGTGGCACCTACTTGGTGATGCTGGTGCCTCCTCCAGGGGGATCAGGCAGCTCTGCCACCCGATCTCTTTTTGGTGGAACAAGTGGTTTGTCATCTTTAAAAAGTAAGTGAATTTTACTTGTGGCACTTTCCTCGATTTATCTCAAACTCTGAAATTTAAAGCTTTCCTATTAATTATTTAAAACTTACTTTGTTAAATAGTTGTTTGCAATAGCTCTCTGATAACAAAAAATACCAATTATCAAATAGGCTAGGAAGATTTAACAATATAATTTTTTGTGGATGGCATATTAGTATAGTTTTGAAAACTATTGTCCTATAAAATTAATAGAAATAATCAGTTCAACAAAGTTTTAGGAAATAAAATAATATTTTGTCACATTATTTACTGATGATACAGCAAGAGCTCTACTCACTATGATAGAATTTCTTTTTTTTTAGACGGAGTCTTGCTCTGTCACCCAGGCTGGAGTGCAGTGGCATGATCTCAGCCTACTGCAACTTCTGCCTCCCGGGTTGAAGTGATTCTCCTGCCTCAGCCTCCCTAGTAGCTGAGATTACAGGCACATGCCACCATGCCCGGCTAATTTTTTTATTTTTAGTAGAGATGGCGTTTCGCCATGTTGGCCAGTCTGTTCTGGAATTCCTGGCCTCAGGTGATCCACCCACCTTGGCCTCCCAAAGTGCTGGGATTACAGGCATGAGCCACCACGCCCTGCCAATAGAATTTCAAAGCTATTAAAATACATATGTAAAACACCTCCATTTTAGGACACATATACAAAATACTAAGCATAAGACATAGAAAAGCAAATGTGTAAAAATGTGTTAGTATTTTAAAATATCCATATATTATTATAAGGAGGCACACTGTAGTAATGAAAGCAGTGTAATTTTGGCTTCAGAGTGCACACATAGTTAAATGGGATAAAGTATAGAATTAAATGTTCCTCAGGCTGGGGGCGGTGGCTTTATTGAAATATAACTCACACACCGTAAATTTCACCCCTTTAAAATATACAATTCAGTGGTTTTTAATATGTTCACAGAGTTGTGCAGTCATTACCACTAATCTATCCGTCACCCCAAAAAGAAACCTCATACTCATCAACAGTTGCTCTCCTACTCCCTGACCCCTGGCATCTACCAATCTACTTTCTGTCTCTGTGGAGTTACCTATACTCTACTTTTCATGTAAATGGAATTATACAACATATGGCCTTTTATGACTGCTTTTTCGTTTGTTTGTTTATTTGCTTGATTTTTAATTTTTGGTTTTACTCGATAGTAGCAAAATACCACTTATTATTTTGTCTCATTCTGTGCATATTATGGTGGCTGAGCTACGAATAAAATCAGGAGCTATAAAAGTAGATGCAGACAGACATGTAAAAATCTTGTTTCTTTTAGTAACTATTATCTTGGGGAAATTAATCATTCAAAGCCTCAACTTTCCCATTAAAAAAAATGTGCAGATGATTATACCTACCACATAGGATAGTGTGAGGACACTTGACACATTATGGAGAGTTATATATAAATATAGAATCATTTTTCCCTCGATGTAAATATAGTTGAATATTGTATCAACTGGAGAGCTGTGTGATGTGAGAAGAGATGGAGAGTATTCTCTATTCATGCACAATTCCACCCTCGCTTGAAGATACTCCTTGCTGTAGTGGGCTTGGTCTCCAGGAAGAAAGTACATGGAGTGAGGTTTTCTCCTTAGTGCTTGCAAATGTGCATTTATTATTGGACACCAGTGATCCTAGATCTTTCTCAGTCTTTAGCCATGGGATCACTACGTGGTCACTGAGGCTCAGACAGGTGAAGTGATGTGGTCCAAGTCTCTTGACACCAGACCCAGCTCTTTTTTATTGGTTCCAAGTTGTTTTATCCATCAGTTGCGCATTGCTGGAGAGGCCTTAGGAAACTTACAATCATGGCGGAAGGCAAAGGAGAAGCAGGCGTCTTCACAGGGTGGCAGGATGGAGTGAGTCTGTGACTGCTTTTTAAACTTAACATAATGTTTTCGAGGTTCATCCATATTACAGCATGAATCAGTACTTCATTACTTTTTATGGTTGAATTATATTTCATAGTGTGGATAATATCCCATTTTGTTTATCCATTCATAAGTTGATGGACATTTGAGTTGTTTCTACTTTTTGGCTATTTTGAATAATGCTGTTATGAACATTAGTATGTAAGTTTTGTGTGGATGTTTTTCATACTCTTGGGCACATACGTAGGAGTGGAATCGCTGGGTCATATGGTAACTGTATGTTTACCCTTGGAGGGACTGCTAAACTGTTTCCCAAAGTGGCCATACCATTTTACGTTCTCATCTCCAAAGTATAATGGTTCTATTTTCTCTACATCCTCACCAACATTTGTTATTTTCCATTTTTCTGATTATAGCCATCTTTGTGGATATGAAGTTGTACCTCATTGTGATTTTATGCATTTCCTTAATGACTAATGATGCTTAGCATCTTTTCATGTGCTTATTGGCCATTTGTATACCTTCTTTGGAGGAATATCTATTCCTCCAAAGTCTTTTATCCATTTAAAGATTGGGTTTTTTGGCCAGGCGCAGTGGCTCACGCCTGTAATCCCAGCACTTGGGAGGCTGTGGCGGGCAGATCATGAGGTCAAGAGATCGAGACCATCGTGGCCAACGTGGTGAAACCCCATCTCTACTAAAATACAAAAATTAGCTGGGCGTGGTGGCGCGTGCCTGTAGTCCCAGCTACACAGGAGGCTGAGGCAGGAGAATTGCTTGAACCTGGGAGCTGGAGGTTGCAGTGAGCCTAGATCGCGCCACTGCACTCCAGCCTGGCGACAGAGCGAGATTCTGTCTCTAAATAAATAAATAAAACAAAAATAAAAATTGGGTTTTTATGTTATTGACCATCAGTCTTTTCTTTTTTTCCCCCTCTTTTTTCCTCCTATTACCACATATTATGACCATTAGTCTTATTAAATTGTGTTTAGTCTCCTTGGCATGGCTTTTTTGCTCAGTTGAAATTGACCCCATTTAATTAAAGTGGGTCTTCATGGTACCATTCTTTCATGAGGATATAGCTTACACAGTGATTCTGCTTTAGTGCAACAAATCAGTAAATGCTTAAATTCCTTCTGTGTCCTGTTCCTCTTCGGCTACTGTGGGGGCTGCTCAGAAAGTGGAAGAATTGGTGCTTGCCTTTAACAGCTCTTAGTCTAGTTAGGAGAGATGACGTAGATATGTGAGACAATGAGAAAATGATAGACAATGCTGCATCCCTGCTGGAAGGATCCATGTGGAGCAGATTTGTGAGCTGCACAATCTGAGAAAGAAAGGCTCATTGTGGAGTGGGGTAGAAAGGAGAGACTTCATGAGGTTTTGAGTTTAAGCCATAAAGAACGGATATTATTCATATAAGTGGCCAAGTGGGGAGAAAGCATATGTATGGTTAAGTACCATGAAAAAAGAGATTTGGAGGTCTATTTTCCACTGTCCCATTTTGTTTAATGAAACAGTAGAAAATAGAAAAAAGAGTATCATTTATGTTATAACTTAAGTTAGGCACGATGCGGATCTGGGCTACTAGGGTGATTAAAATATGAAAAAGAAGAAAACTCAAGAGACACAGTGCTAAAGTTTTGTTTGAAAATGGGGAAGAAAATAAAATCAATGATAGCAATTAATACATATATATATATATATATGCTGGTGTGGATCCTTGACATATTTTAACTCATTTATTCTTTAAAATAACTATATAAGGTAGGACTTTTATTATTTCCACTCTAGAAATGAGGAAACTGAAATGTTCAATGACTTTCCCAGGGCCACCCAAAAGTTTTAGAGCTGGAATTCAAACTCTGAAGCCCAAAGTCCATGCTCTTTAATACTGCACTATCCTGTGTTAAGGGAAAAAGCCAGGGTGTGTCCAAGTTGTAGAGCCAGTATTAGGAAAGATTGCAGCTGAGCTGTGTTTGAGTATACACCAAGCTTTATTGAACACTGACTAACTGCCAAGTGTTTCTTGTAAACATTTGCATCTTGTGATATTAGTGATCATAACCCCTCTTGCAGTTACCCTTTTGATAATGTATATCGGAAAGAACCGTCATGCAAAAGTTGCCATTTTAAAAACACTTTGAAAACTATGGTTCGGTATTAAATTTAGGAAAATTTCTGGTGGTGACAGTTTTCTTTCTGTGGTCTTATGCATGTATTCTCCATCTCTTTACCACCAATTACCACCAATACACAACAACAAGAAAAGGGTGTGATTTTTATAAAAGTCTTGTTAAAAGCCTAAAATTTAAACTTTAAAAATAATCTTCAGGCTCATTAAACAGCTTAATGTTTGTTTCCAAAGTCCTAGCCTCCAGCTTGGTGTATAATATTTCGGATGGTCAGTTTACAAGTCGTGCAGATCTCATAGATGCTGCTGGAAGCTCACTGGGGCGTGGTGCTCTCGTACCAGGATTGGGTAAGAAATAAACTTGCACATATCTTTGGAAAATTTCAAGTTTTAGCAAATTTCTCTTGAACTGTCTTGCCAGTTCCCTGTGGCATTCTAGTTTTCTTGAAAAGAAAGACGTTTTTTGTTTTGTTTTGTTTTGTTTTGTTTGAGACAGGGTCTCTTCTGTCACCTAGGCTGGAGTGAAGTGTTACGATCTTGGCTCACTGCAGCCTCTACCTCCTGGGCTCAAGCAGTCCTCCCATCTCAGCCTCCTGAGTAACTGGGACTACAGGAGCACACCACCATGCCCAGCTAATTTTGTTTATTTTTTGTAGAGCCAAGGTCTCACTATGTCACCCAGGCTGGTCTCAAACTCCTAGGCTCAAGCAATCTTCCTGCCTTGGCCTCCCAAAGTGCTGGGATTACAGGCATGAGCCATTGTGTCCAGCCAGAAAGAATTTTTTTATATTAAATTTTAATTTTGGGAATGAGTATAAGACATTGCCATATGTAAAATTCCTCTGAATAAACTGCAATTGAAGATACTATTGATTAGGTTGTGTGATGATGCCTATAAGAAATTCTCAGGTTTATGCCACAAAAAGTTTATTTCCTGTGAGGAATTGGTATACCTGTTATTGTTAGAAAATGAACATTAAGTAATATACTGGACTTTCTCTTTGCCGTGGGTGGTAGGAAGCTTATTTCTAAGTTTTGGGCTCAGTTATTAGGGCTTTTTATTTTGCATTAATGTTAATTGGTCCTATTATACCTGTGTTTTTAATGTAAGCCACTTAAATCCTCTTTGGAAGTAGGTCACAGATAAATCAGTTACTAAGAGCTATCTATTTTGTGAGATTTACTCCTCACACAGGAGTTAAGCAAAATTAAAAATTAAATGCTGGCCTTTGCCGAGTCCCAACCTAGTGCCTTACCAAATAAATCTGTGGGACTAGGGTTGTGGGTTGTCAACATTAGAGAGCATCCTTGCCCTTCCACTTTGTAGCAGTGCTTGTGAGAAATATGTATACAGGTAGCTGGTGGCATGGTGACTGAATACAGTATGCTCTTTTTGCAGGAGCGTGTTATGACACAGTGAACAACATGCTATGGACATGCTCAAATGACTATATCGATCAGTGGTGTAACCCTGGGAATCAAGCCTTCCATTATGTCTGCCAGAGACTTGGAGTCAGTCACATTATCACTGAGCCCAAAGGTGAGGTGCACTCAGGGTCTTGCAGGAAAAGATTTTCCTCTGAAATATGAGAGAATACCACAGCATTAGTAGGTGAAAACATAGCCCAACCCCAGAATGTGTCACCAGTTTTCCCTCTTTGAACTTTTGAAACCTAAAGTCCTTTGTTATCTGTAACCATGAAAGATGAGTTATGATTAAGTAAATAAGTATGTAAATAAATAGAGCTTTTGAGGTGGTCCATAGACTTTTTTAAAGGAAAATTGTTATGTCCTTCCTGAAATTGTTGGAACTTTGTTGCAAAAATTGATTATTTGTATTTGGCATGGGATTATTTGCTGTTGTAATGTTTTGCATTGGTAATGACTTAATTATACACAAACTTAGATAGAATTACCAGTGAAGGACCTTTGTATTTTTCAATATTAATATGAACATTCTTAATACTAAGTTAATATTAAAATCTTTTGGCTTTAAAGTCAACTATGCTAATATGGAGGAATTAATCACTCAGCAAGTCCCCTACCCGTAAAGCAACACTAAAACAGGCAATTATCAAAAACAACCATTTCCAGGCCCTGGAAATTGCCAAGGCATACACTAAATTGAGAGTTGTTATTCATTTTAAAAAACCTTGAACTTTGGGTAAGAACAGTGGAAGTCCATGGTGTTCTTAGCTAGAACTGCTCCTATCCTCCACCTCAGTCTGCATTGAGAGAATTACTATGCTGACCACCTCAAGCTTGGTCAGCACAGTAATTTCTCTCAGGGTGGAGAAGATAGTGAAAAGCAGCAGCTTTGCTGCCAGAGGGGGCTGACTTGATAGGGAGCAGAGCGTGGAAAAACCTCATGTCCAGTAGCATTGTCAGTAACAGTAGTCATCTTGGTGGCAAACAAACAGAGACCAGTGGCTCAGCAGGTCTTAGATCTTGATCCCAGTTAGGGCAAGCAGTGGCCCAGCTGACTAGCTAGAAGTTTACTAGTGAGATCTGGATAGTGAGAAAGCTGTGGGGGACCACACATCTACACAGAAGAGGCCTAAGACAGCCTAAGCTACTCACACAATTCTGGCTAAACATGAGTCTGCATACACATGCAAAGATGTGAGAGGGCCCAACAGAAAGTAAAAACCAGAGCAGAGTTTAAAACCGCGTGAACTTTGCTGCACTTCTCCCGAAATACACAGATCCATCCAGGGTGAAAGTATTACTGGCTCAAGGTGTTTGACCACAATCATTGGTTGACAACCACTAAGGAATACAGATAGGGGTGAACCCTAGGAAGCCAGGCTGAAAAAGAAAAACAAGAATAATTAAAAATAAATGAGGCTAGGCGCTGTGGCCCACACCTGTAATCCCAGCACTTTGGGAGGCTGAGGCAGGCAGATCACCTGAGGTCAGGAGTTCGAGACCAGCCTGGCCAACACGGGGAAACCCCATCTCTACTAAAAATACAAAAAAGTTAGCTGGGTGTGGTGGCAGGCGCCTGTAGTCTCAGCTACTTGGGAGGCTAGGGCAGGAGAATCACTTGAACTGGGAGGCTGAGGTTGCAGTGAGCTGAGATCATGCCATTGCACCCCAGCCTGGGCAACAACTTAACTTTTTTGAAACTCTGTCTCAAAAAAATAAAATAAGATAAAATTAAAAAAAATAAATGCAAGAAAGAAACAAGTATTTGAAAAAATAAACTGAGCAGAGAAATCAGTAACCATGCAATGCAGGAGAAATGCAGATGTTGGACTGATGACTTTAAAGTCAGATGAAGACTTAAAGCAGCCATTATAAATACATTTAAAGAACTGAAGGAATCCAAGTTTAAAAAAATTAAAGGCAAGTATGATGACTATGATTAAGCAAATTGAGAATTTCAGTAAAGAGATTATTTTAAAAAACAAAACAAAACAACAACAACAAAAAAAAATGGAAATTCCAGATTTGAAAAGAAAAATTCAGTAGAGTGGCTCAACAGCAGATCTGAGCTGCTGGGAGAAGAAAGCAGCAAACCTGGGCCATAGATTAGTAGAGTTGTTCTGTCTGAAGAGCAGAACAGGACACTTGGGGAGTACTGGTCACACATTTGCAGAATAGAATTTCCTTCCCTGTGGGTTCATCTGATGCTTTCTCATGGTTAGACTGAAGTTACGGATTGGGGGAAGAATACCACAGAAGAGGTATCCCCTTCACATTACTTCTATTCCAAGGTACATGATATTGACATGACTTATTACTAGTGATATTAAAAACTGATCACTTTGTTTAAATGATGTCTGCCAGATTTCTCCACTATTAAGATTCCACTTCTCCCTTTCCACACTCTGTTAGTCTCGACCACACTGAAGGGAAGGGGAATTAAGCTCCACCTCCTAGAAGAAGCATATCAGAGAACTTGTAGACTTGGTCCTTCAGAGGACCAAAGCCAGTTCATGTAGACAAATGTTAATCACCACAGTAATTAGTATCTGTAGGGTCAGTGTTTTTTCTCAGCTTTCATTCTTGATTTTGGTATTTGTGTAAATTTACTAAAACTTGGTGAGTTGTGCATTTAGAGTGGGCGAGTTTTATGGAATGTAAATTATATCTTGATAAAGCTTTTTTTTTGAAAAAGCAAAAAGTAGAAAAGAAAGTCCACTTTATATTACTGACTACCAAGCCTCTTGCCTGAACTCCAGACTGTGGATTCACTTCCACTTGGTTATCTAACGGGCATTTTCAGCTTAACATGTCAAAACATGAGGAGCTATTTATAGACAGGAGTTCTAATATGGAGCAGACATAGGATATGGAGAGGTTTTACTAGAATGGTTACCAGTAGGGGCTGTGGAATGAGGTGGCCTGAATCCAAATCCCAGTTCTACCACTTCTTAGCTGTGTGACCTAGGGCAAGTACCTTAACTTCTCTGACTCTTGGTTTATTGCTCTACAAAACAGGGCTAAAATAGTCTAAGTTGAGAACCATGTAAAGCATTCAGCCCATTCTTCAGCATATAAAAAGGGCTCAGGAAGTGGTAGCTACTTATGTTCCAAACAAATGAACTCCCCAAGTGTTTTCACCCCAGCACCTGTGGCAGGGAGAAGCGTTCTCTGGCAGCAGTGAAAGAGATTATAGCCAAAATATCCTTTTCTAGTGCGCACACACCTTTTGTAAGTCAAAGGTCTATTCTTTGGGGACCACCCATAGAGATGTCTTTCCTCACTCAGTTTCCTTTTCATCTTCTAGAAGAGGCTATAACCACGAATGAGGTTATAAACCAATTATTGCACCACGTTGGTGCGATGTGCATACACCAACTCAATCTTCTTGCCACCAACCCCAATCTTCCAATCACAAGTGTCTTGGGCAAGCAGCATCCAATTGAAGCACATCATCTTAGCAGTATTTGTGACATTATGGAGAAGGCCATGGTTAATGGAGATACCTGTATTATACGCTGCATTCTCGTTGTCTTTCAGGTAAATACACTGTTTTGAAATAAATAAGATGATAGAGAAAAGGAAACGCAAACCTTGGCTTCAGCCAGTTCATTTTTACCAGAAGAAAAATTTAATGATTTTCCTGTTCTGCATCTTACCACCTTCTGATCCTGGAGTTAGAATTATCATATTCATTGCACTGTGCTTAATGGAGTATTGCTATACATAGCGTATTACAATTAATATATGCAAAATATTTACTATAATTATACCGTTACACAGTAGAAGAGATTGTGGTTAAACAAAATCCACCTGGTTATTTGTTCATAGGATATCTACCATGTACTTTCTTTGTAGAGATAATTTTATCCCCAGTAGAATTAGCATTTTTAGATAGACTCCTTCTGTTTCTGTAGGTGGTATTTAAATTTTTCTTCAGCCCACAAACTGAAAGGAATCGAGACATCATTCGACGGTCGGGATTGCTTCTTTGGCAGTTGTTGATGGCTCCAAAAGATCAAATTTGCCCTGAAATTCAGAAGGAAGTCTGCCTTGCCATCAGGTAAACAGCTAATGATTTTTGTAGTGCTCTCTGCAAAATGATTCTTCTGCAAGGCATTGTAATCTTCCCTGAAAGCTGGTAGTATAAATGCCTCTTACCCCATCCCACAATTGGGACCTCATGGATTGGGGATAATTTCACTGGAGAGGGGTTTGTGGCCCCACCTTCAGAGGACCAAAGCCAACTGTGTACCTGCATTTCCTTATCTCACTGTTTGGATCTAAAACAAACAAACAAACAAACAAAACCAACCCTTTAAGTGGATATTTTGATTGTTTGCAAGCTGATCTCATTTTGCAGAGTGTGGCAGGGTGGTTAAGAAGCAGGCTTTGGCAACAGGCAGACCTGGGTTCTAGACTTTGCCACTCACTAGTGTGACCTTGGTTTAAGGTTCGCATTTCCTTAGCTGTAAGATGGGCATAAAAATAGCACCTGTTTTATGGGTTTGTGAGGTTTTCCTAAGGTAAGGCCTGATGCAAAGTAAGTGCTCAACAATGCAAGCCTTTATCAACCTGTTTAAAACCTTTTCAGGGCCGGGCGCGGTGGCTCACGCCTGTAATCCCAGCACTTTGGGAGGCCGAGACGGGCGGATCACGAGGTCAGGAGATCGAGACCATCCTGGCTAACACGGTGAAACCCCGTCTCTACTAAAAATACAAAAATTAGCCGGGCATGGTGGCGCGCTCCTGTAGTCCCAGCTACACGGGAGGCTGAGGCAGGAGAATGGCGTGAACCCGGGAGGCGGAGCTTGCAGTGAGTCGAGATCGCGCCACTGCACTCCAGCCTGGGCGACAGAGCGAAACTCCGCCTCAAAAAAAAAAAAAAAAAAAAAAAACCTTTTCAGACAAGAGAGCAGAATTTATAGGCCATTTTCTATTTATTGTAAGTCTTTTTTTTTTTTGGTTTGTTTTTTTAGTTCAGTGAACTTTTTTTCTTTTTGCTTGTTTGAGACGGAGTTTCACTCTTGTTGCCCAGGCTCGAGTGCAGTGGTGTGATCTCAGCTCACCGCAATCTCCGCCTCCTGGCTTCAAGTGATTCTCCTGCCTCAGCCTCTCAAGTAGATGGGATTACAGGCATGTGCCACCATGCCTGGCTAATTTTTGTATTTTTAGTAGAGATGGGGTTTCACCACGTTGGCCAGGCTGGTCTCGAACTCCTGACCTCAGGTGATCCACCCACCTTGGCCTCCCAAAGTACTGGGATTACAGGTGTGAGCCACCACGCCTGGCCTCAGCAAACTTTTATACAGGAATACAGCCTTAAAGTGATTAAGTATAATTTAGTGTCCAAGAGAGAGCTGAATGGTTGGTCTGAAAGATCTGTATGACAGGGGTGAGCATAGATGACAGGAAGTTGTTTTCCTTCCACAGCACATTATGCTTCGAATCTCTTTCTGTGGAGCATTAAGGCAATGATTGAAATCTGATGCTCTGAGGAAACTTTTGGAGGGGATGGGTATATTCACTATCTTGATTGTGGTGATGGTTTCATTGGTGTATACATATGTCAGACTTATCAGATTGTACACTGTAAATATGTGCACTTGATTAAATGTTAAACCTCAATTAAAAAAGAAAAGAGGCTGAGTGTGTTAGCTCATGCCTGTAATCCCCAGCACTTTGAGGGGCCATGGCAGGTGGATCGCCGAGGCCAAGTTTGAGACCAGTCTGGGCAACATAGTAAGACCTTGTCTCTACAAAAAAAGTAAAAACAAAATTAGCCCGATGCCCTGGCAAGAACCTGTAGTCCCAGCTATTTGGGAGACTGAGGTGGGAGGATCACTTGAGCCTGGGAGGTCAAGGCTGCAATGAGCTGAGATCACACCACTGCACTCCATGCACTCCAGCCTGGGTGACAGTGAGATCCTGTCTAAAACACACACATGCACACATATAAGCACACACACAAATAAATTAATGAAAAGAAAAAAGATTCTGATGCCATTTGCAATATTGTTCTTCCCTTCTCTTCGGAAAAGCTGAGAATTAGAAATTTACTTTCTCAAGTGTTTTTTTGGGGAGGCACAATAGTTATATGTAGGCTTGACTACATTGACTTTTCATAGCTTACCAATTCTCTCTAACCAGTTCTGCATCTAGCCCCAAGTACTTATCATTTGGGTAATTCACAGGAAGAGGAGGAGAGGGATGCCACTTATCAGGGAAGTGATTGGACTGGATCGTGACAGTGAATTTAGGTTCAAATGCCTTTTTAGGCCAGGTGCAGTAGCTCACACCTGCAATCCCAGCACTTTGGGAGGCCAAGGCAGGTGAATCGCTTGAGCTCAGGAGTTTAAGACTAACCTGGGCAACATATTGAGACCCTGTCTCAATTTTTTTTTAATGCCTTTTTAGTGATAAAAGTTATTTCACAGTTTTATGTAATCAATTGACATCTTGTTTGGAGGTTCTAGCAGGGGAGCGCAGCTACTCGTATACCCTTGACCGAAGACCGGTCCTCCTCTATCGGGGATGGTCGTCCTCTTCGACCGAGCGCGCAGCTTCGGGAGGGACGCACATGGAGCGGTGAGGGAGGAAGGGCACACCTGCCTAGCCAGCCAGATCAGCCGAATCAACCCCAGCGATCAATGGGGTGACAGATGTCGCAGCCAGATTGCCCTCACATCCAATTGACATCTTTAATAAAAATATGAATTTAAATATTTAGAGTTGATTTTCTAGAACATTTGCTTAAATGTTTTTGACTTTTTTGTCATTTCAGCTCTGGTTTAAATATCTTGTACCCAGGTGAAACTGAAATCAATAACTTACTTAAACTGGTCTTAACAGAAGGTAAGAATTATCCTTTAATTATCTTTGAACAGCCGTCCTTTTTTTGTCCCCAAGGAAACAACTGCATATTCAGATAATATTTACACTTCTTCATGTATGTTAGTCAGCATATTTAAGAAATGTATCTGCAGGCCAGGCACGGTGGCTCACACCTGTAATCCCAGCACTTTGGTAGGCCAAGGCAGGAGGATGACTTGACCCAGGAGCTCGAGACCAGCCTGGCCAGCATAGCAAGACCCTGACTCTACAAAAAATAAAAACAATTAGCTGGGCATGGTGGCCCATGCCTTGTCATCCAAGCTACTCAGGAGTCTGAGGCAGGAGGATTGCTTCAGCCCAAGAGGTTGAGGATGCAGTGAGCTGTTATGACACAACTGCACTCTAGCCTGGGCAACAGAATGAGACCCTGTCTCAAAGAAAAAAGAAAGAATGTATCTGCATATATGCTTACACTTCAACCAGATTGAAAGCAAAAACCATGTTTTATATATCTGCAAGCTTTATAAACTTTCTGTCTCCACTGCTTAGCATAATGTATCTGACTATAGATGTTTAATAAATAAAATAATCACTTATTGGTGATTTCTAAGCCAGTTATCTTCACACATTAGAGCCTAACATTTTAAGTTAGACTAAACAACACAACAAAAGGTACTATGTTAAAGACAGTTGGCATTTAAAAGCAACATTAAGGAATAAAAAATCACACTTCATGATCTATCAAGAGGGTAATTACACTTTAATCAGGATGCTGGTTAAAAAGTCGGATTCGTTGTGATGTCGTTTTTGCCACTCTTATTTGTATAAGTCCGTATGTCTGGTGCCCCTAGCTTGCCGACAATCTATTTGTTTAAAAACTTTTTAAAAATAGCATCAGTATTCTAGGAGTCATTACCAGGGTAGTTGATGGAGCTTTCTTCTGTGTTAGGAGAGAGAAACAGTGGACTCTCCCAGCTACGGGATGTGATCCTAACCAACCTGGCTGAACAGCTCCAAAACAACCGATTTGGCAGTGATGAGGATGATCATTACAGGTGACACCAGTTATATTATTCACTTCTAGCCTTTGTGTTCTCAGTCGTTAGTTTACATTTAAATGTGTTTGATCAACTTTAGTCTCCTGTTATAACTAATACGATCGTTAGCATGTTAAACCTAAAGCATGGACCAGTTGAAAGATAATAGATTCCACAGTTCCCCTCAGAACTGATAATTGCACATTTCAGTTTTATCAGTAAAGTAAGTTGGGCCTGGGGAAAGGGTCTTTAGCAAAAATAACAGATGGAACTTACTTAGGAGATCTTGGTTCAGAGTACCATCCAAATTGCTGGTTTATGAGAAAGGCTGAGTATGTGTGTTAGAGCTGGTGAAGGGGACGAAGGTGTTGTTTTTATATGTTATTTATAAAATACTTTGACTTTGTAGTTGGGTGCCATTTGATTTCTATAAGTTTGATTTAAATAATATACCTAGTTGTTAGCATTATTACTAAGGTGATTTGCTTAAGAATCAATTATGTATCTTTTATTTGTCATCTTATACTAATTATATAAAATTTATCCTTTTATGAATAAACCATCAATATTTTATTGTTACATTTTTCCTGCATTTTAAAGACTAAATGATGAACTTTTACACTACATTCTGAAGATTGTTGTACGAGAATCCTGTATCTTAATCACCAAGTGCCAAACTGTCTCTAAAGATGATTTTCAAAAGCTCCTTTCAACTGTGCCTGTAAGTAAAAATGTGTTTAATGAAAGCAAAATTATATCAAGCATCCCTGTTTTCATTTTATTATATTGACAGGTGTGTGTATACATACAGACTTACAATAATTTATGAAAGGCCGGGCGCAGTGGCTCACGCCTGTAATCCCAGCACTTTGGGAGGCCAAGGTGGGTGGATCACCTGAGGTCAGGAGTTCAAGACCAGTCTGACCAACATGGTGAAACCCCGTCTCTATTAAAAATACAAAAATTAGCAGGGTGTGGTGGTACACATCGGTAATCCCAGCTACTCAGGAGGCTGAGGCAGGAGAATCACGTGAACCCAGGAGGTGGAGTTTGCAGTGAGCTGAGATCGCGCCACCGCACTCCAGCCTGGGTGACAGAGCAAGACTCCGTCTCAAATAATAATAATAATAATTTATGAAAGTCCGTGGATTACTACTTACCCTAGAAATGTAGAACTAGACAAATCCACTTGAAAAACTTTCCAAAGACTATTCCCCCTGCTTAAATTGCTTGATGCAATAAATTGATCAGATTTGGGAGTTTTTGTTTTATCTAGTGAGAGTGTTTTTTCCCTATTAATTTTTAATTTTACATTGTTTTCTAAACCATGAGTGTTTTATAGAGACCAATAGGAATCAAAAGATTCTTTTAAGGGTTTGAGTATTCTTCTATAATGGAGATGTGTGTGAGAGGGAGGGGGAAGAATAATTATTAAGAGGCAAAAATTCAAGTAAGTATTCTAATTAGTGAGGATTGTGTACCAAAAGGCAGAAAGTTATAGTAAGTGTGTCAAAGTATGTATGGAAAGCCATGTGGAAATAAGGCACCTGAAAAACTAACTTGGTCTGTTTTTTTTATTTCTCTTTTTGTTTTCTTTGTCAAAATCTTTTAAAAACATGAGGATTACATGATCGCTCTTTCAGTAGGATTTAGATCATTTAAATGCCCTTATTTGTATTAAAGGCTGCATCCTCCTGCCTGCGCTATCTGATGGCAGTTCAGAATCACCTTCTCAGTAACACTATTTTGATTAAACCTGATGAGAATGATGACAGTGACAGCTCCTTGCAGGGAGAGACATTGAAGGTACAGGTAAACACCAAGCTTTATTTTAACGATGCGTTCTACCCAGTGTGAAAAGCAGCTTAATTGGCTAAATTTCTGTGTTTTATGATGTCAGAATTCACCTTGTGGCTTATATTCTTGTGAGAGGTAACATTAGGCCACTCATTCCATAGATTTTTTATGTCATTACACAGTAGTCACCTACTTGTGACACTCATAATGTGTCATCCGTGTGCTCCTGTCAACCTTTTTGTGCCTTTGTTTACTTCCATCTTCTTTTAAGAACTATAAAATATGGCACTTACAAGTGATCTCATGTGTACCTGAAAGTTATAGCTACATAGACATATATATGTGTATGTGTGTGTGTGTGTGTGTGTGTGTGTATATATATATATATATAAAAATCTTGGGAGCATTAAATAATTTCAAAATTTTAGATGGTTTATTATATTCTCTTGATTAAAATAACTTTTAAAAGGTGATAATTTTTTCAATCTTTGTATGGAATAATCTAATTTCTAAACCTATAGTCAATTTCATTTTCTGTGATTATTTTTAAATTAGCTTCTGTGTAAACTCACTAACTTGTTCCCACATGACAATTTATAGCAGTCCAAAGATTTTTTTATAGCCATGGTTGTTATAATTTTGACAGATGCTCAAGGCTGTTGTTTGCATTGTTCTTCAGAATTTCATCTTTGTGGGAGAATCAGAGAAATCTACAAGAACTTTATTCTTTCTTAAAATGTTAAACACACTGAAAAATCAACCAAGGAAGCCACAGTTAAAGATAAAAGCCAATGCAGTTTGCCCCTTTCTTACTCCTTTATGCATATATACTATTTAAATAATACATCTGATAGTTTGTACTTATGAGTTTACCTCATTGTATAATCCATTTTTAAATAGGCAGACATACATGCACTTTTAATTTAAGTTGTTGATAATATTTATTTAACTTCTCTTGCCTTAGTTTTCTCATCAGTAAAAAGGGACAATAACATCTTCTTTGTAAAGTTGCTGTATTAACAACAAGCCCTGTAAATACCTGGCACTTTGCTGCCATGTGGTATGGAGTCAGTAGATGATCATGAATGTCATTAGTGTGACTTAAAACATGATTTGGCTCATCATTAGTTCAGAGTTCCTACTCTCTTAAAGATTAAAAAAAATCTCAATAATACTAAAAACAGCTGGGTGTGGTGGCTGACACCTGTAATCCCAGCACTTTGGGAGGCTGAGGCAGGTGGATCACTTGAGGCCAAGAGTTAGAGACCAGCCTGGCCAACATGGTGAAACCCCATCTCTACTGAAAAATACAAAAATTAGCCGGGCGTGATGGCACTCCCCTGTAATTCCAGCTGCTGGTGAGGCTGAGGCGTGAGAATTGCTTGAACCCAGGAGGTGGAGGTTGCAGGGAGCCCTGATCATGCCACTGCACTCCAGCCTGGGTGACAGAGTGAGACTGTGTTTCAAAAAATATAATAATAATAAAGACCCCAGAAAATTCCAACAATGAGAAAGTTTTTTCTATTTGAAGGCTAAATTTTAGCCTTAGTAGATTCTTTTTTTTTTTTTTTTTTTTTTTTTTTGAGATGGAGTCTCTCTTTGTCGCCCAGGCTGGAGAGCCGTGGTGCAATCTCGGCTCACTGCAACCTCCATCTTCTGAGTTCAAACGATTCTCCTGCCTCAGCCTCCCGAGTAGCTGGGATTACAGATGTGCGCCCATCTGTAATGCCCAGCTAATTTTTGAAATTTTAGTAGAGACGGGGTTTCACCGTGTTGTCCAGACTGGTCTTGAACTCCTGACCTCAAGTGATCCACCTGCCTTGGCCTCCCAAAGTGCTGGGATTACAGGCATGAGCCACCGTGCCCGGCCTAGCCTTAGTAAATTCTTAATTAAACATAGAAATGTAAAGACTCTTAGGAAAGGCTGAATAGGCTCAGTTGTCTAGGTTTCTGGGGAAACATGTCCCCCAAAGAGTTTGTATTTTTTTAACTGAAAATAATTGTAAACTAAACATTTCTATGATGTTAGCTAGTCTTTCTTAACACATTATTTAGTATTTGTACTCCCACGAACTCTCTAATAGTTATTTTAATGTTTAATAGCCTGTAACTGCTTGCTACTTTAATTGAATTTTTTTAACTGCCTGTTTTTAACTGTGATTTGTTTAGGACATTGAGTAAAAGGTCACTTGTACTGTTTTAGAATGTTGTGTTTTTGTCTCATTTTATTCACCGCCTCTACATGCGCCTTTTACTGTTCTGTTTTTCTCTTTAGCTATCCTCATACCACCCAAGGCAGTCTTCCACCTGGACAGTTTCTGGGCTGGCCACCAGGAGCTCTCTTGTGCTGGATGGGATGGGAAATATTTCTTGTGCTGGCTGGGATGGGAGCCTTTTCTCCTAGGGACTCAGTGTGATCCCTCTGAAATACTGCGTATTTCTGTCAGCTCTCCAGACCTTGGCCTCCCAAATTGCTACTTGCCATTTACTGCTTTGGGCTTATTCTGGCCACCTCATTATTTCTAGCAGAATTTACTGCTTTGGGCTTATTCTGTCCACCTCATTATTTCATTTGGAAATACATCATTAAATACATCATTTCATGTTGTCATTGTGAACGTATGTTCATCACAAAGCTTAAAAATAATATGATGATATTTTCTGCCTAGGAGCTAAAAGTCAGTATTTTGGCTCTTGCCACCCAAATCCTGACTGGATGTGATGAAGTGTTGGAAATGCTACAGCAGGTCACAACTGCCCTCATAAATAGTGACATAGCAGACCGTGAGCAGAGGTGAGGAATGGATTGTGGGCTGTGACCAGCTGCCCTGTGGGAAGAAAAGTTTGTTTATTGAAATTAAATCTTTTTAGAATATAGAAGGATCAATTTTATATAGAGAGATTTTTGTGAGAATAGGCTAAAAGGGCAAGTGTTTGAAAGCCAAGTGCAGTCACACTCTTTCATGTGCTTTCAGGTGAGATTGGGCCAACAGCCATGATCTAAGGGTAGCGAGGTTGTGGAGGGCACAGCCTAATCTCTGCCACTTGAGACTTCTACTGCCATCACTCCCAAAATGGCCTTTCCTTTAATTATCAAGGTCAGCACCATGCACACTTAGTTTCCTCATGATAAAGACTTTTGGGAGGAAGAAGTGACTTACCAACTGCTACACAAAGGATGACACTGATGTGGTACCTCAAGATTTTACTGTAATTTTACTTCTCCAAATACATGGCTGACCTATATAGAGGGCAGACTTCTCTTTCACAGTAATAAAGCCCTTTCTCAGCCTTTCACATTAAAATTTCTGCTGTAACCCCATCTCTACTAAAAATACAAAAAAAAAAAAAAAAATTAGCCAGGCATGGTGGCAGGCACCTGTAGTCCCAGCTACTCAGGAGGCTAAGGCAGGAGAATGGCCTGAACCTGGGAGGCGGAGCTTGCAGTGAGCCGAGATCATCCCACTGCACTCCAGCCTGGGTGACAGAGCGAGACTCTGTCTCAAAAAAAAAAAAAAATTCTGCTCTGGTTTGTTTTTAGAGATGCATTGAATACTGTGTTTTTTGACAATTTGCATGTTGGAGCTGTAGATCTAAAAGAATCCTACAGTGTAATTTTTGCTTCCGTAACCCTGTCTGTTCCTATGGACTTGGTTCTTACCCACTCCCAGAGAGTAGATAGGAGGTTGGGATTGGGAACAGTATAACCCAGATAGGCATTGCATTGAGGCTTAGTAATACGTAGTTCTGTCTAATGGGAGAGCCTGGGTTTCTGGTTCCACTACCAATATCCTAAGTAGCCTTAAGGAATTTACATAATCCATTTCTTTCTACATTCCTTAACTCTTCTAGCAGAGGACAGGGATATTAAGAATGTGATTTTAAAGATAAATTAAAAATTTGCCTACTTAGATGAGTCAAAATCATAGAGACAGAAAGTAGAATGGTGGTTGCCGGGGGCTGGGGGCAAGGGGAAAATGAGGAGTTATTGTTTAATGCGCATAGAGTTTGGGTTTTATAACACAAAAAGAGTTGTGGAGATGGATGGTGGTGATGGTTGCACAACATTATTTAATAACACTGAAATGTACACTTAAAATGGTTAAGATGGTAAATTTTGTGCTATGTTTATTTTACCATAATAAAAAAAAAAATTGGGGGAAGAAATCTGCCTGCTTCTGCATGCCCCAGACAAGCCTCAGTTTCTCTAGACCAGTAATGGATGTCACAGCTCTGGGCAGGTGAATCAATGTTGTAGCCATTCACTTCCTCCTGTTTAGAGTCACTGTGTAGCATAGTGACCAGCAGCCCCAGAGGCAAGAGAACTTTACAGGTAGTAGCCATTGGCATTTTAGAATCCATTTGTAAAGTGCTTCAAAGGTGCTATGAAATGCACCATGTAGCAACCTAGAACCTAGAACCTAAGTAGTTCATACCTGTAATCCCAACAATTTGGGAGACCGAGGTGGGAGGATCACTTGTACCCAGGAGATCAAGGCTGCAGTGAGCTGTGATCGTACCACTGCACTCCAGCCTGGGTAACAAGAGTGAGAGCCTGTCAAAAAAAAAAAAAAAAAAAAAGGCAGCTTATAAATTTTTTGGCAAAAATCAGAGACTGAAGGTGAAATCTATTAATAGCTTTATTTCTGTTCTTCCCCTCTCCCTCAGTGGCAGAAGGTGGAAAATTTGTGGACTGAATTGCTATCGCTGAAAGTGCTTAAGTAGTTTAAGGAGGTGCAGTTTAGGAGAAATTGTCAGATAAAGATGACATTAGTGCTTCTTCACATGTTTGGGCATTGCTTAGGCTGTGTGTTTTTCTTGAACTTTTTGTAGGTTAAAAGGCTTGGAACAAGTTACTAAGGCTACTATGCTTGGTCACCTTCTTCCAGTGTTACTGACCTCCTTGATGCATCCAAATTTACAGACTCTGATCATGGCGGATGCCCTGATGCCTCAGCTAGTGCAGCTGGTACTCTATACCAGCCAGGTATGATCCTTGGTGTGCCAAAGTGAACTGCTTTTTGGCCAACCTGCTTCACAGGATGGCTGTTTGCTTTCACTGAAGACAGAATAAACATAATCCTGCCTTTCAGAAACCAAGGGAAATAATGATGGAATGAAGAAAAATATCATGTCATAAAAATAAATAATAAGGGAAAACATTTTATTTGTTTGACTAAATTACTAACTGCAACCTTTTAGCAAGTGTTCATGGCTGATCAGCTATAAAAATGCTAATATACAATGCTACCAAAAACCTACCATTATAGTTTGTCTCCTGAGTCCTTGCCAGCTAATAGTAGCTAATATAAATGATGCATTCCATTACAGCATTAAGTAAAATAATGTTAAGTGGTCTAAGTAGCACAGCATTTCTTAATGAAGGAGAGCAGACTAGGATTGTAAAAAGATGATTTAAGAGAGACCTCTAAGTTTGGCTGTCATACCATTCAGATAACTGACAGTAGCCCTGGAAGACATAATGATGGTTTTGTGTTTCAGACGGCGTTGCTGCTTAAAACCCAGTGTCCGGTTTTTGCTGAGGTGGGCTGTTCCCCGTGTGGTGCACCAGACCAGAAGTGCAGGCTGTTCCCTGATGAGAGGTAATGAATGCTGCTTCCTTGCAGGAACCCTTTTCTTGTTTTCTTTGGGTGAAAGCGTAGTACTCCTTTTATGAAAATGATTTTTAGCAAGGATTATCTAGCTGTGAAAAGAAAAAGACTTCAGAATGAAAATTTTAGATAACTGTAGCATTGCTTTGTAGATTTATAGCAACTGGTTAGCATAAATTTCCCCATGGATCAAGAGATTAGTTCAAAATTGATCTGAAATTCTCATATGCTAATAGTGGGGATGTAAAATATTATGACTTTGGCAGGCAGTTTGGCTGTTTCTTTTTTTTTTTTTTCTGAGATGGAGCCTTGTTCTGTCACCCAGGCTGGAGTGCAGTGGCGCAATCTCAGCTCACTGCAACCTCCACCTCCTGGGTTCAAGCAATTCTCCTGTCTCAGCCTCATGAGTAGCTAGGATTACAGGCGTACGCCACCACACCCAGCTAATTTTTGTATTTTTTAGTAGAGACGAGGTCTCACTGTGTTGGCCAGGCTGGTTTTGAACTCCTGACCTCATGATCCGCCCACCTCAGCCTCCCAAAGTGCTGGGATTACAGGCGTGAGCCACCACACCCTGCCGGCTGTTTCTTAAAAAGTTAAACATACACCTATTGTATGACCCAACTATTTCACTTTTAGGTATTCACACAAGAAAAGAAAGCATAGGTTCTTACAAAGCTTTGACATTAAGGTTCGTAACAGTTTTGGTTAGAAGAGCCCAAAACTGGAAACAACATAAACGTCCATCAGTAAGTGAATGGATAAGCAAATTGTGATATAGTCATACAATGGACTCTAATCAGCAATAAAAAGGAATGAACTTTTGTTATATACAACAATGTTTATATAATCTCAAAATACTTAACCCTGAGTGAAAGAAGCCACATACTATAAAACTCTAGAAAATGCAAACTAATCTCTAGTGACAGACAGCAAATAAGTGATCACCTGGCAGAGAAATGGAGTGGTTACAAAGAGGAAGAAGGAAACTTAATGGTATAACAAATGTCCAAACTTATCAAGTTGTATGTTTTAAATATGTGCAATTTATTATGTCAGTTATGTTGCATTAAAGCTGTCTTTAAAAAAGATTTCCTGGGTTTCTCTAGAGCAGCAGGCTATGGAATTGAGCTTTTCGCAGTGATGAAAACTTCTATCTGTGCTGTCTAGTTCCATAGCCACAGGTAGTTATTTAGCACCTGCAATATAGCTAATGTGACTGAGGAGCTGAATTTTAAATTTTATTTCATTTAAATTCAATTTAATTGAAATGGCCACATGTGACTAGTAGCTACCATATTGGACAGTAAGGCTTTGCAGCTCAAGCTTCGGAGTTGAAAGAATAAGAGAATTCCATGGTAACTAAGTTTAAGTCTTAGGAGTTTGTATTCCACAACCTCAGGCTCCATGTCGTCCTTGAGAGTTCAATTACAGTAGGTAAGAGAACCTTTGAAGGCACCTTTCTTTAGTAAAAATTATGGTGAAAAGTAGCTATGTAGACTCCTGGAGTTTTCAACAATTGTCATGTAGATATCAACAAAAGGAAATGTTTACAGGATGCTAACCCTGTGGGATTTGCAAAGTGGCCAATCTTAAAGATCCTTTACAGTATCTTTTTTTTTTTTCTGAGTACCTTTAAATGAGAATTGATCAGGTCTTCTCTTGGATATCAACTGGGCTTCGCCCTTGAAAAAAAGAGGGAAAAATGAAAATATATCTCTGCTTCTTGTCCTGGAAAAAGGCAAAAAAGAAAAAAAAAAGCAAGTATAATATCTGACAACAAGGAAAGAAAAAACCCTTAAATGTAGGAATTTTTAAAATGTTTCTGATTGCCACTGATATCAAGCATTTAAAAGCCTCAGTGTTATCATACTGCATGCTGTGGAAAATTAAAGAGCAATTTAATGTTTACATTGTTTTTCCTTTCCTTGGCTGCTAAGCTAAATCACTTTCTCTTTTTCTGTTTAGAATGTTAGAAGAGAAGGAAGAGCCAGGATTTCTCACTGGTTTAAAGATTCCTGCCCCATGGGCTGCTGGAAAGACTGTGGAAACAGTCCACCCCGTCAGAGACAACTATAAATTTAAAGAAACGGTCCATATCCCAGGAGCTCGCTGCCTGTACCTTAGATTTGATAGCAGATGCTCTTCGCAATATGACTATGACAAAGTAAGTAAGAACTGGGTTACTATTGGTTCCACCTCGAGTAAGCTGATTCTTAGATGCTTCTTATTTTTCTTTGCTGCTGGTCACCATTCTTGACTGATTTCTGTCTGCAGATATCTCTAAGGAGAACTTTCCTAAGATAAAGTTCTTATCTTTGAAGGGTAGTGATTGAGGGAGTTAAAGAAACACCACCTCTGCAGTCTAAGAACAATGTTTTAATGATATGTTGAAAGTGTACTTTGTAAGCTTTCAGGTGCTTAGATATATGAGAGGAAGGAAATGTTCCTTTTCATTCTGCTTACCCCCTGCCCTCCCTCCGTGCTTGAAGTTACCCCAGATGTGTGATGTCCATTCATCTAGAAAGGTCTCACTGCCCAATTCTTGGGGCTTCTCATGTATCTTTTGGGAAAAGGTGGCTTTTTAGAAGGGTTTCAGAGGTGCTAGGATCTGGTTTATATTTATTTAAACATTTGTTCTTTTTTTGAGGAAGAGTAGTTTCCAACCTGGTGGCTTAACAGTTATGAACGAAAGGAAGCATCTTAGGGGTTGAAGCATTTTCTTCTACTTAGAATTGTTGAATTGTAACCTGTCATGTGGTCTTAGGGGGAAAGGCTAATGAAATATGTAACATATGAAAGAACAGTTGGAGGATTATCTAATAGCTTCGTGCATACTATTTTTATGTAGCTTCTTAGTGATCTGTTTTCTCTCTCCCCTGTGAACTGTGTGAGGGCAAATGGGCTTAAATCCTAGCAGGGGATTCTGACTTCTGAGGCTGACTTTTAAAAAAATTCTATCCGGGGAGGTTTTTAGGTTAAAAATAAAGGACTTCTTAACTGTATATACTATGAGATGGTGAAACACATTTCTGGGCAAGTTATAGAATCCTCTTCCCCATTATCTTTTAGGATAGTGAAGATTCCCAGGTGTCCCCAAAGCCTTGTCTTCAAAACTCACCTTAGCTGGAAGCAAGAAAATATATGAGATGATCTTTAGTAGGCCTTTCAGAAACATATCTCTCCTAGCATCAGTCCACCGTAATTCATAGCTCCTGGCATTGGCTACCCCCATTTCCCAGGTTCAGGTGAAGTGACTTTTAATATAGAAATGGGAGAGGCTGCCATTTTAGTTGGTGTCGTTTTGTTTCTCCTTTAAAAACTGTATTTTGCATTTCCAATATGCGCTAACTTATGCCTGCAGTAGACATTAGTGTTAAATGGTGAAGCACAAAGAGGCTTACTACATGGATAAAAGTACATTTACTTTTCCAGTGGTCCCTGGCTGGTGTCAGCAAAAGGCCCCAAAGGGTAAGAAATCACGAAATAATAAGCATTCAGGGCTGAAGATAGAGCTACTAAATCTGAACTTAGATGCAGTGAGAAGCAGTCAGAGCGCACATTAGAAGACAGGGTTTGGTATTTACAGAAGCCAGAGCTTTATTTTTCCTATGGAAGTCTTTGAATGCCAAATGAGCTATAAATGTTTCTTCTGCCGATTAGAAAGTCAGCCAGCTGGTTATAAATGAATTAGAGAAATATTGATACATGAAAACTGACCCAAGAAGCAGCAGCCCCCTTTCTGGCCCAAATTTGTATCATTTTCTTTTTATACCATTAAGCAACATCCTAAGAATATATGGCTTATTTTCAATTTGTTGCATTTTTAAAAATTCTTATTTATTCATTGATTTTTTTTGGTGCTTTTATTTTGTTGTTGTGTTAGATATAACCATATTTCCATCTGTATTTGCTCACTTTATTAATTTTGGGGAGGACTTAAGGGGCCAAACTGTTATTAATGAGTTATTTGTTATTAATTAGCATTAAAATAGCTATTTCAAAAATATTGATGTACAATAACTGAGTATAACTATTTAATGTGAGGTCCCCAAGCCAATTAAAGTGTGGTAATATAAAAAGTATACTTCTTTTTATTAAGAATTGTTATTACTCTGTGGCTTCCCTGTAAATACCAATGACTGATTGCATCCAAACTAGTATCAGTTATACCTAAAAAAATCGGGAAATATTAGTTATACTATAATGACACCAATGCCTGGTTATAATTGTATTTTAAACAAATGTTTTTGCAGCCTTTTTATTTGTAGATGTTGTTTTTGTTTTTCTTTTACAGTCTAACAGTATATTTTCTGTTTTGAAGTTGGTGATATATGCGGGGCCTAACACAAACAGTAGGAAGGTTGCTGAATATGGAGGCAACACACTGGGATATGGCAGCCGTAGTGTCTTAGGAACTGGTTGGCCGAAAGACTTGGTGAAGGTATGGTATTCAGTCATAATCGCTTCCTAGAAAAGAAAATGAACTTGCAGTCCTCACAGGTCCAAGTACTAACTGTAATCCCAGAAAAACATTTGCCCTGGGGGCTTTTGTTGAGGTGGAGCCACCTTACCAGGCCTGTCAGCTCACTCCTTCTATTCAGAATGACCCTCCTTTCACTTGTAGGACATCAGACCCCTGTTCACTCCCTTTCACAAGTTACTCCATGCATAGAAGTTGTCACAGCATTTTCTTCCTTGTTGATTAAAAGGGTTGCTAGATCTTCCAGCTTAGTTCTCCTCTACACTCCCTGTTGACAAGTACCCTAGAACCACAAGGCCATTGCAGTGTAAAAGTATTGAGTTAATGTGTTCAGATGAATTTGGGCCTTTGGAGCAAAAACAATTATCCATTCTCAAACTGATGAAATTAGTGCCATGCTTTGTAATTTGGCCCTCAAACTACTTAACTGTGTATCTGCCTGGAATATGAATATAAGACTGAAATGTCTGTTAAAACCCAAAAATGTCTCCAAAGTCTGTTCCCGGGGCCTTTATTTCATATATGTTATGGACTCTCTTTAATTCAGCCATAGATGGCAAGCCATTTGTTAGAAATTATGGCCAGGTGCAGCTGCTCACGCCTATAGTCCCAGCACTTTGGGAGGCTGTGGCGGGCAGATCACCTGAGGTCGGGAGTTTGAGACCAGCCTGGCCAACATGATGAAACCCTGTCTCTACTAAAAATACAAAAATTAGCCGGGCGTGGTGGTGTGTGTCTGTCATGCCAGCTACTCAGGAGGCTGAGACAGGAGAATCGCTTAAACCCAGGAGGTGGAGGTTGCAGTGAGTCAAGATTGCGCCATTGCACTGCAGTCTGGGTGACAGAACGAAACTCCATTACAAAAAAAAAAAGAGAGAAATTATGCTCAAGGCCGAGCAAGGTGGCTCACGCCTGTAATCCCAGCACTTTGGGAGGCTGAGGTGGACAGACTGCTTGAGCCCAAGAATTTGAGACCAGCGTGGGCAACATGGTGAGACCTTGTCTCTACAAAAAAAAAATAAAAAAATTAGCTGGGCATGGTTCTGCACACTTGTAGTTCCAGCTATTCAGGAGGCTGAAGTGGGAGGATTGCTTGAGCCTGGGAGATTGAGACTGCAGTGAGCCATGATTGTGCCACTGCACTCCAGCCCGGGTGACAGAGTAAGACCTTGTCTCAAAAAAAAAAAAAAAAATTATTTTCAAGATTTGATTAACCTTTACCTTGATCTTGCTAATGGGCAACTGTGGCCCATTTCACAGATGCCTCATCCCAAAGGCGACCTCATCAGGAGAGACACTTAAAGGACTGGTTGTCTAAATGAGAGGGAATAGAATTTGAATCAAAAAGCAAATGAGAAAAGGAGTGAAATATTGCTGTGGTCCTTTTTGAAAGTAAACCTCTGAAATTCATTGCTCTTTTGAAATTGTGTATCTTGTTTTTAAAGTGCATTTCCCCCCCTTCCTTAAATTTTAAGGTGGAAGGAGATACAGTCACCTTCTCCTTTGAAATGAGAAGTGGCCGTGAACACAACACTCCTGATAAAGCCATGTGGGGCTTTGCTTGCACAGTTCGCGCTCAGGTACTTGAATCTAACCACTGCCGTGGACAAAATGTACTATCTGCTATGTGCCTTGATTACATACAGCATATTTGCCTTGGAAACAGGGCAGAATATGAGTCACTCTTTCATCTTTCTCTTCTAGTTGGCACTAGTCAACTACTAGCAGTTAGTAGTACTTTTACAGAATAAAACTAGCCATGACCTAAAATCAACTCAGCAGCACAGAAATAAATCTATTGATTGGAGCTCCCTCTTCAAAGTTTGGGGAGGTGACCTGACCCCAGCATCTTTCCACAGGGCAAAGAGGACTCAATAGAACTTAATAGAAATAAGCACTTAGATCCTGGGTTTTAAGAGTAGTTAAGCATCCGGCTGGGCGTGGTGGCTCACACCTGTAATCCCAGCACTTTGGGAGGCTGAGGCAGGTGAATCAGCTGAGGTCAGGAGTTCGAGATCAGCCTGGCCAACTTGGTGAAACCCCGTCTCTACTAAAAATACAAAAATTAGCCAGATGTGGTGGTGGGCACCTGTAGTCCTAGCTATTCGAGAGGCTGAGGGAGGAGAATCGCTTGAACCAGGAGGCAGAGATTGCAGTGAGCTGAGATCATGCCACTGTACTCCAGCCTGGGTGATAGAGTGAGACTCCGTCTCAAAAATTAAAAAACAAACAAACAAACAAAAAACAGAGTACTTAAGCATCCTACTTACCCCTCCAGTTGCCTGATTCCGAAAACGTATTTTAGACTTTGAGGTTTCTTAAGCTTAACCAAGCTAAGACTCTCCAGAGTGGCATTAACTGCTAGAATGTAAGCTCCGTGAGAGCAGGGATCTTCATTTCATTCTCTGATGTATCTCAGGCACCTAGAACAATGGCTGGCACACAGAGGACACCCAGTAAATATTTCTTGAATGAATTCACTGCAGTCATTGACAACATCACAGTTTGAGCACAGGGTGGAAGTGAAAAAACAAAATAGTGATTTATACTTAGGTGGGCACAACAGAGAGGAAGCTATCAAAGAATCAGGCTTCTTTATTTCATTTGTACTATTTATTTGATTTGTACTATTGTATATGGGGTCTGATCAACTATTTTCTCTCCAGAAATGTGTTGAGACTTCACTCTGGTCATTCCAGTGCCACCATCTAGTCATGATTTGGGTGCTGTACCTGTGTCCCCTAGCAGTGATACTCGATGCTGCTCTGTAGAACCCTGTGGTTGGGGACAGTGCAGTGTGGGGCAGCACAGGTAGCAGCCTCTGCCAGTGTACACTGACCAGTGTGGTTTACCCCTGTCTGCATTGTAGGAGTCTTCGGAGGATGTCTCAGGAGGCTTGCCCTTTCTGGTAGACCTGGCTTTAGGTCTGTCTGTGTTAGCTTGTTCCATGTTAAGAATCCTGTACAATGGACCAGAAATTACCAAAGAAGAAGAAGCCTGTCAGGAGCTATTGCGGTCCAAACTTTTACAAAGGTAACAAAAAGGTTGAAATTGAGCTAGTGTTGCCTGCAAAGGAAAAAGGACTTTATGTGGAAAAATCCTTTTGGTACATTTCCCAGGTGATTGTGCCTACTGCCTGGCAATCTCATGGGTGTCATTGTGTCTAAGAAAAATAAGATGAAAATTACACCATAGTGCTTTCTGGCCCTTACTTTACTAAATTTAAAATTACATCTTTGAACTGCATAAGCTTTTCTCCAACACAATTATTGTCTAATTAAATTGAATGATCCCAAGAGGATGGGTGGATGTGTGATAAAGCAAACACAGCAAATGTTTATTGTACAATCTAGACAAGTGTGTCTGTGGATATTAACCATGTCATTCTTTCAGCTTTTCTGTACATTTAAAAGTTTTAATGATTAAATATTGGGGGGGAGCTAGATCCCCAAAGATGGGCTTTCATACAATGCTCACTTGTCTTTAGCTTCTGGAGAAGGTTTGATGAGTAATTACTTAACACAGAATGTGATCCTTCATATGTTTGATGTATCTGCAAACATCCAATAGCTTTCCAATACTCTTGTTGAGAGAGGAAGTGAAGAGCCTCTTTTCTGTCTGCTCAGGTGCCAGTGGCAGGTGGAGGCCAATGGCGTGATCTCCCCTGCCCTTACTCCGAGCCCCTCTCCACTGCCTCTGACCATAGAGGAAGACAGAGAATTCACCTACCCCTCTGATGTCCTCGTGCCTCCTGTTGGAAACTACTTTGATCTGCCTCGGATCAGACTGCCTCCAGGAATCATGATAAAGCTCAGGGAAATTTCTGGGCGTGCTAGACCTCAATTTAGACCAAGTATAAAGTATGTTGCTGTGTAGTGTTTTACTTTTCCCAATGGGAAAAAAAAGTTTAAACAATTGAAATGGGTATATTTCTTCTGTGGTCTAGTAAATGAAACTTTAATTTTATGTTTACTCCATGAATGTTAAAATTAACTGAGTCTAGAGGGCCCACCAGGCAGTATTCCAGACTAGGGGCTCTCAAAATTTGGCCCACCAGTCAGCAGCATTGGCATCACTTGGGAACTTGTTGGTTCTTGGACCCCATTTTGCACCTATTGAATCAGAAGGTCTGAGGATGGGGCGCAGCTTAACAAGTTTCCCATTTGACTGATGCATGCTAAAGTGTGACAAGTGCTAGGTTTATCTCTAGTATTTTGACCTTCTACTAGCAGTCAGCCTCTACTTTACTTTCCAGAGTCTAGAGACATGTGTTTATTTTTGATGCCTAGAGAAATGGTGAGGAGTTCTCTAATGTAGAATGTACATACAGTTACAAATGTCTGTGGTATTCTTGCTTAAAGTCAAGTCTGTTTTGCAGGCCTCTGCTCTGCCTCCTGAGGCAGGTTTTCAGAGAGAAAACTTTAGAGAATATATGAAATTTAAAATGAAAAAAATACAGAAAACACTATCGTTTTTAGCCCAACATCCATATGTACTGAACACTGCAGGCCATAATACCGCATAAAATTAATTAGTGGATAGATGCTGCTGAAGATCTTTTCTTAGCCTTAGCCCTCTTCCAGCTCTAATATGTCTCTAACTCAAAATGTAGCAATCATAGAAAATGAAGTCTCTTTTTTTTTTTTTTTTGAGAGGGAGTCTCGCTCTGTCACACAGGCTGGAGTGCAGTGATGTGATCTTGGCTCACTACAACCTCTGTCTCCTAGTTTCAAGAGATTCTCCTGCCTCAGCCTCCCTAGTAACTGGGATTACAGGCACATGCCACCACACCCGGCTAATTTTGTGTTTTTAGTAGAGACGGGGTTTCTCCACGTTGGCCAGTCTGGTCTCAAACTCCTGACCTCAAGTGATTCGCCAGCCTCAGCCTCCCAAAGTGCTAGGATTACAGGCTGAAGTCTCTTTACTCTTGATTTTCAGCTTTATCAGCCAATGTCAGTTTTATCAGTCAATATACTAAATTATTTGCCAACGTAAGACTCCGACAATGCCATTATACTATTCATACCTCTTACTCTATTGTAATAAAGGAGGTGTGGTGAATATTTAATATCTTTAGATCAAAGCCTAAGTTCTCCAACCTGTAAAATACTCTCTTGGGCCTGGGGCATGGTGGCTCATGCCTGTAATCCCAATACTTTGGGAGGCCAAGTCAGGAGAATCGCTTGAGCCCAGGAGTTCAAGACCAGCCTGAGCAACATAGTGAGAAACCGCCACCCTAAAATTTTTTTTCTTAAATTAGCTGAGCATGGCAGCATGCACCTGTAGTCTCAGCTACCTGGGAGGCTGAGGCAGGAGGATCCCTTGAGCCCAGGAGTTTGAGGCTGCAGTGAGCCATGATTGCTCCACTGAACTGCAGCCTAGGTGACAGAGGGAGACCTTGTCTCTAAAGAAATAAAAAATAAAAATAAAATACAGTATTGAGAAGCTGAGAGCATGGCATATATCTGACTGATTTCCATTGTGATCACAGAGAAGTGATTCAGCCAGACGTGATGGAGGAAATGGTGGTATCTTGTGTTATTAAGCACTTGAACTTGGTTGATGCACTGCAGTCTCTAATAAATTTCCAATATCAAGAAGAACATGCTGAAGAATATGATTTATTATGTAAAATTATGGGAGAGACCTTTAAGAAACTCAATGCCATGGAGAGACAGCTGCAGGTAAATGTCTGATAACTGTTGGAAACAATTTCTTTTATGGAAATTTAAAGAAATTTAGAATGTGATCTAATTTTTAAAATTACTATTGTGACTAAAATTTTGAATCATACTTGTTTTTATTTTGCATCTATTTTAATGTATTTATTAGAGTGTTGCAGAACTGGAACAAAAATGGCAAAGTGAAGTTGATGATGCCATGCAGGGGAAACTGGAGAACAACATGCCTTTCTTTTATGATTACCATTTTAATGAGGTGAGCAAATTGTATGATTTGTCACTGGGGTATTGCCATTTAGAGAGCAAAGGTATATACTGTGTGTGTGTGTGTGTGTGTGTGTGTGTAGGTAAAATAATGTCATTTCCTAAAATGTTGCACACTCCAAAAATGTACCCATTCTTTAAAAGAGGTTAAATGAAAATTGATTAGATCAACATGCAGTATACAAATAATTACTCATTAGGTTGTTTTTTTAACTGATTAATAGTTTTATAAAGATATATAAAGAAGTTGTCATCATGGTCAAATTTTGCTTTCAAGCCTTAAAAAACAAAAAATAGGCAAAATTATAAGCCCTGAAAGAATTCCCAGAAAGTAGTCAATGCCATTTTTAATCATTAAAATATCAAATAATAACTTACAAATGAGTTTCAAGCATAGAAATGTGGACCAAAGGTGGTGGTTTTTCTCTGAAATTTTCTGTTCATTTTAATATATGTATAGTAAAACTTGGTTCTTGCAGATTCTGCATACCATCTTTTTTTTCTTTAGAACAAAATGAAAGAACTAGAACTTTTATGTTCAATGAAGGAAGTCTCCTTTGATGGGAATGATCTTGAAAACATGGTCCTATCACTGAGGTTAGTCGTATTAATAACTATTAAGGCTATTATCACCTTGATGCTCAAAACACACTGTAAAGGTCTAGTCTCTTAATAGATATATTTTTAAATGTTGTGAATTTACTAAATATTTTAGAGTTGGAACTCATTTGGTAAATTGGAAATTTTGGTTTTAGCCTTCCAAAGTTAGCATAGGCATTTGAAACAGAAAAAGGAGCCAGAAGTGGCCAGAGTTTCTAACAGTGTTACTTGGATGAGGAAACAGGGAAGTAAGCAATGTTGATTAGGTTACTTTTGCTTAGTTTCCCCTGTGTCTTCTCTTATTCTTTGTAAACATTTTTTTTTAATAGTTGTTTTTGATAAGCTAGAGAACAACTCAATGCACATCAGTCTTTCTTTATAGGGAGAAGTTCCTACAAGAAGTGAATTCTCTTATTCAGAAACCCTCACACCCACTGGCTAAAACAAAGACGTTAGTGAAGAGTTTAATGAACCGAGCCGAGCTGTTGCTGCATGTCACCATCGCAGCCCAGTCGGGCCTCACGAGAAGCATCTCTGGGACCCCTGCTGAAACACCAGGTACTGCTCAAAGATAGCCCCTAATCGGCTTCTGTTATATGAACAGAGAATATACTCTGTTCATATAAGACACACAGCTATATTTTGAAAAATTCACTCTTGGGTACTCTGAGAAAGGAAAACAAAAGGAAATTTTAACATATTTAATTTTGCCTTATACTTTCTGTACAAAGCACTTGAGTGACAAAAGAAAAACAAAGAAATACTTGTATGTCATTAAATTCCTGCGGTCAACTTCTTGTTTTCTTTATTTTATTTTATTTTTTGAGACTGAGTCTCACTCTGTCGCCCAGACTAGAGTGCAGTGGCGCAATCTTGGCTCACCGAAACCTCCGCCTCCCAGGTTCAAGCAATTCTTCTGCTTCAGCCTCCTGAGTAAGGTGGGATTACAGGCGCATGCCACCATGCCTGTCTAATTTTTGTATTTTTGGTAGAGACGGGGTTTCACTATGTTGGCTAGGTTGGTCTCGAACTCCTGACCTCTGGTGATCCGCCCACCTTGGCGTCCTAACATGCCAGGATTACAGGTGTGAGCCACTGCGCCCGTTTTTGTTTTCATACTAACATATATAATTATATTTCATAGTAACATATACAATTAGTCAACATCATAAATCTTGTAACTTTTTTCCTCTTTACTTGAAGCTGAGTTTGCATTTCATCTTTAATAATTATGTGGAACCTTGTGGTATGACTTCCTGGAAATTAACTTTTTCTAGGTCACATTTTATTTTATTTTATTTTATTTTATTTTATTTTTTATTTTTTTGAGACGGAGTCTCATTCTGTTGTCCAGGCTGGAGTGCGGTGGCACAATCTCTGCTCACTGCAGTCTCTGTCTCCTGGGTTCAAGCGATTCTCCTGCCTCAGCTTCCCAGGTAGGTGGGATTACAGGCGCTCACCACCATGCCCAGCTAATTTTTGTATTTTTAGTAGAGACAGGGTTTTGCTATGTTGGCCAGGCTGGTCTTGAACCCCTGACCTCAGGTGATCTGCCCACCTCAGCCTCCCAAAGTGCTGGGATTACAGGCGTGAGCCACCACGCCCGGCCTAGGTCACATTTTAATTGTTAGCCTAAAAATGCATCTCTCAGGAAAATCATTGAGTCTTCTTACTTAAGACAGGATCTGTAACATGGCACAGCCCACAAGCATTCATTCTTAACCTGAGAGATAAAGTTAAATAAACAAGTTCTTAAATGAAAGAGTCCATGTTACGTAGCCCCATTGCCCAGTGGGCAGTAGAGAGCAGGCAAACTTGTTTTCATCCCAGCTGGTCATCTAAGGCTCTTCTTACTTGGGATTTGAAGTCTAGGAGGACTCCCAGGGTCTCGCTCTCTAATACAGGTTCTCCCTGAGAACTTCAGGGGAAGACACAGGTTTGGGAGAGAGTGTGTGGTACAATCACATGCCAGGATGGTCTGCTATACACATAAGCCCTTGTTAAAGGTCCTGTATATAGACCTGACCACTTGGTAAGGCTGTTAGTACTGTCCCAGAGGCTCTTGACCTCAGAGATAACAGTATCTTCAAAAATTATAATTTTTTTATATTTAAGCTGTCTAACCACTCTTAAGACAGATACAAAATGGTTTTCTCAGCTGGGCACAGTGGCTCATGCCTGTAATTCCAGAACTTTGGGAGGCCAAGGCAGGAGGATCGCTTACACCAGGAGTTCAAGACCAGGCTTTGCCACATAGCAGGACCTGGTCTCTACAAAAAAATATAAAAATTAGCCAGGCATGGTGGCATGCACCTGTAATCCCAGCTACTTGGGAGGCTGAGTTGGGAGGATTGCTTGAGTCCAGGAGTTCAAGGCTGCAGTAAGCCATGATTGCAGCACTGCTCTTCAGCCTGGGCAACAGAGCAAGACCCTGTCTCTAAATAAATAAATAAGTGAAAATTTTAGAAAAATAAAACAAAATGTTTTTTTTCCTGCACTTTCTCAACATCTTTTTTTCTTAGCTACTCATGACATATAGTTTTATCTTCTTCCATTTAAGGATTGTTTTATAAAACATCTATTTCCCTGGATAGGGTTAAGGAGTATATCTTATAGAAAGACCAGTTCAGATTCCAACTCAAGTGTAATATTTATTCCTACCAACTATGATCAAAGCAGAGGTATCATTAAATGACAATAAATCAGTTAAATATATCTGGGGTTAAAGCAGGGAAAAAGGCCATCTCTGAAAAAAATGGATTTGGATGTATTTGAATTAAGAAATTTGGGCCAGGTGTGGTAGCTCACACCTGTAATCCTGGCACTTTGGGAGGCCAAGGTGGGCAGATCACTTGAAGTCAGGAGTTCAAGACCAGCCTGGCCAACATGGCGAAACCCCGTCTCTACTAAAAAAATACAGAGGTTACCTGGGCGTGGTGGTGCACGCCTGTAATCGCAGCTACTTGGGAGGCTGAGGTAGGAGAATTGCTTGAACCTGGGAGATGAAGGTTGCAGAAAGCTGAGATCACACCACTGCACTGCATCCTGGGTGACAGAGCGAGACCCATCTTAAAAAAATAAGAAATTGAAAAATTAAAAAAAAGAAATTTGTGATTTTCGGCAATACTTTCTATGTCCTCCATTGCTTTTTAGAATGCTTACATTAAAGTGAACATGGATAGCTATGAAATTCAATGAATTTTTCAGCTTTTCTTTGGAAAACCAATTTAATAAAAAGATTTTAATTTTTTTAAGTTAAAATAATTTTTAACCTAATACTTAGGTTAAAAAATTGATGTAAAAACCATCAGTATGCTGTGCTAGCTAGATTGGTGGCTGAACTGTGATAGAAAGCAAAGATACACTTAGACTGTTGGGTAGTTCTGTGTTGCATTTGGCTGTTGTACAGATAGCAGAAATGTCAGCCTTTTTATTCCTTTTTTTTCTAGCTTGTAAATCAGCTTCTGAAACAAAAGTGATATCTCACGCTGTCAGGCAGCCTGTTTTTCTTCGCAGCATGTCAGCTCCTTCTGACCTGGAAATGATTGGTAATGAAGATTTGGAATTTACTAGAGCAAATCAGAGGTAAATGGCTAATGGCCGGGGTTGGGTTCCCACATGCAGCTGAATGCATTCATCAAAACAAGCTCCCTGAGTGTGTTTCTCGTCTTGCCAGTCTGTTCTGTGTTCCCCGTAGGCGTCGCCACGTGACCAGCCACCGCAGCAGCTCCTTTACACTCCTGCAGTCGCTGGCCATTGAGGACAGCAGGGACAAGCCCACCTACAGTGTCCTGCTAGGGCAGCTGTTTGCTTTCATCGGCACCAACCCTGACCAAGCTGTACGTCACATTTTGCGGGCTCCAGATGAATAGCACCTAACAGCATGCGGGGTCTTGCGGCAGTTAGCAGGAGTCAGGTGTCCCTCCTTGTGTGTTTCAGGTGTCCAGCAGCAGTTTCCTTTTGGCTGCACAGACAAGGTGGCGGCGGGGAAACACTCGCAAGCAGGCACTGGTGCACATGCGGGAATTGCTGACAGCTGCCGTACGAGTCGGGGGAGTGACGCATCTTGTGGGTCCAGTGACGATGGTCCTTCAGGGAGGACCCAGGTTAGTTGTTTCTGTTAGTTTATACTGTCCTTTCTAGAATGGTCAGAGCCATTCAAAAGATTATTCTTGGGACCCAAACATAGGCGGTAGTATTTGCTAATGTTTTCCTCTAAAATATTTATATAAAAGTGGTACATGATCTTGCAAAAAACTCAACATATTAATAGAACGTAAAACTCTCAGTATTCACCTTCTTCTCCTGAATTCCACTCTGTCCATTAAGAGCTCATTACAGCAACCATACATGCATAAGCAGCTGTATAATTCTTTTTGTACACATAACTGTGTTTGTGTGTAAATTTTTTTCAACTTAATTCAGATTATATTATCCATGCCTTTCTATAACCATGGTTGTTTTGCTCAGTATGTCTTAGATATCTCAGATATCTGTGTTTTCATATCAGCACATATAGGTCTGGTCTGCTTTATCTTTTTTTTATTTGACACAGAGTCTCACTCTGTCACCAAGGCTGGAGTGCAGCAGCACGATCTTGGCTCATGGCAGCCTCTGCCTCCCGGGTTCAAGTGATTCTCGTGTCTCAACCTCCCAAGTAGCTGGGATTACAGGCACATGCCACCACACCTGGCTAATTTTTATATTTTTAGTAGAGATGGGGTTTCACCATGTTGGCCAGGCTGGTCTCAAACTCCCGACCTCAGGTGATCTGCCTGCCTCGGCCCCCCCAAAGTGCTGTGATTACAGGCATGAGCCACCGTGCCCAGCCTTTTTTTTTTTTTTTAAGCAGATTCTCGTTCTGTCACCCAGGCTGGCATGCAATGACGTGATCATGGCTCACTGCAGCCTTGACCTCCCCAGGCTCAAGCGATCTTCCCACCTCAGCCTCCCAAGTAGCTGGGACTATAGGCGCATACCACCATGCCCAGCTAATGTATTTATTTTTTGTAGAGATGGGGTCTTGCCATGTTGCCCAGGCTGGTCTCAAATTTCTGGGCTCAAGGGATCCTCCTGTCTCAGTCTCCCAGACTGCTGGGATTAAAGGCATGAGCCACCACACCTGGCTGCTTTAAGATTTTTAAGAGCTCATAGATATACATTATATAGATGACCTTTTCTAAAAAAATTAACACATCCTCTGCTGACGGACACATAGGTTCATTTGTCTTTATTGCTTTTGTTTTTGCTTTGTTTTGTTTTTGCATTAACAACCTCCTTCTGCCTATATTTTTATACATTTCCATAACTGTTATTACTGAACCAATTTCTAAAAATGTAATCATAGATACTAACTCTGAAGATGATTTTATAACTCATTTGTGAGTTGTTCTATATGAGTTTCCTATTGGGCTTCAAAAATCTTCAAATAGAAATAGAAAATGCATTTCTCTGCAAGCCCTGGACTGGAGCTGCTGGAGGCTGCTGTGCTTCCTGACAGTTCTTTGAGGAATTCTGGCCAACAGGCAGAGAGGGTTCAGTGGCTGGAGGAAAATGGGTTAATTAAGAGCTGAAGTGAGTATCTTGAGAAATCTTGAGATCTTCCCACCTCAGCCTTCCAAGTAGCTGGGAGTACAGGAGAGGTCAGACTATTATTTGGAAACAAGTCCAAAATTTAAGTGGCTTAAAAGACAAAATTTTGTTGGGCCCAGTGTCTCACACCTATAATCCCAGCACTTAAGGAGGCCAAAGCAGGAGGATCACTTGAGGCTAGGAGTTCAAGACCAGCCTGGGCAATATAGTGAGACCCTGTCTCTACAAAAAGGAAAAAATTAGCCGTAGTGGTGGGGCATGCCTGTGGTCCCAGCTACTGGAGAAGCTGAGGCAGGAAGATCGCTTGAGGCCAGGAGCTTGAGGCTGCAGTAAGCTGTGATCGCACCACCCTGCACTTCAGCCTGGGCAACAGAGCAAAACCTTGTCACAAAAAATGAAGAAGACAAAATTTTAGGTCTTGCTTCTGTTCATGATGGGTTCATGCTGGCTCATGGTAATCACAGAAGAGGAAACCATCACCTCAAGAGCTGCCAGGCTCCTTGTCAGAACTCTGGCTCATTGACCAGACTTGTCACTGCCCAGCCAACCACAGGGTGCCCAGAAAGAAATAGGGAAAAGCCCTAATGATTACCACAGCCTATTTCCAGAATTTAATTTCTCCATAAAACTGGCAGCACTATTCCTTTTCCCTCGATTATTGTCATTTGTCAGAAACTTGAAAAAAAAATGTAGAAAATGCCAAAAAATACAATGAAAATCACCTACAAGTACACCCTCTTAAAATAACATTCTGTTAACACTTTAGTGTCTGTGTTCTAACTGTAGATGTCTCCCGTAGTGTTCTTAGTGGTTCTGTAGCTATATGCTTGAAACTTTAACAAATTCCCTATTTTTGAACATTAGGTTAGTTTTTCTTGTTTTTGCTTTTATAAACAATACTATGTTGCATGTCTTTGTAGATAAATCCTGATAGTTTCAGTTCTAAACTAATATTAATTGGTATAGAATCGGCCCTATGTTGTGTTTTGCATTGGGAAAGTTTTATTTTATATCAACTAGGCTTTCATCTTCTGCTAATAACTGAAGTGTGAACTCAAAAACAGACACTTAGCTAATCCATTTGAGCCTTAGTTGTCTCATTAATAAAACTGCCTTGGCTAGGCACAGTGGCTCAGGCCTGTAATCCCAGCACTTTGGGAGGCCGAGGTGGGAGGATTACTTGAGCTCAGGAGATTGAAACCAGCCTGGGCAACATAGCGAAACATCATCTCTACTAAAAGTCAAAAAAATTAGCTGGATGTGGTGGTGTGCATCTGTGGTCCCAGCTACTTGGGAGGCAGAGGTGGGAGGATCACCTGAGCCCAAGAGATCAAGGCTGCAGTGAGCTGTGATCGTACCACTGCACTCCAGCCTGGGTAACAGACCAAGACCCTGTCTCTAAAAAAAAAAAAGAAAAGAAAAGAAAAGAAAAAGCACTTACAGTATTCAGTGCTACTTAGATTATTGTAGACATGTCTGAAATAACTGGTTTCATGATCAAATAAGTTTGGAAAATGTTGAATGTCCCCTGCTTGTGGAGAGGCCATTCGCTTTACCCTTACTGAAGGCTCTGAAAAGTCCTACAGTAGTCTGTTTTAATTTCCCTAACCCAGGATTTCCTAGACTTTTCTGGAGTGTGGACCGCTGTTTTGGAGGCACACCTAAAACTTCTGTCCAGCAGTCTTGCATAGTCTAGGAAACACTGAGCTGGATGTTCTCCAAGATCCCTTCAGTTCTGGATTCATCCAGATACTCTAGAGTTTCTCAAGAGGCCTCTCCTGCTCAGCCACTGTTCTTGACATGGTTCAGGAAGCCTGAGCTTTGGTTTCTCTTTCACAGAATTGAAGAACTCACATGTGGTGGGATGGTCGAGCAGGTCCAGGAAGCCTTTGGCGAGACCATGACCTCTGTTGTGTCTCTGTGTGCTCGTTACCCTATCGCTTGCGCAAATAGCATTGGACTCTTATGTACCATACCTTACACCAGGTAAGTACGGAAAGGCCTTTTGTTGTATGTAAGTTACCCTGCAGTATAGTCGATTAAGTGAAAGTATTTTTAATTTTAAAAATTGGATTTTTTGCTTTCATTATCCAGAGCTAGCTATACAAAACTTTTCTCCTGAAAGACACTTAAGGTTCCTATGTAAATTTCTTATTATTGAGTTCCAACATGACTAAATGCAGCCATTAGGGTTATATTACATTGTGAAGATACAGAGGTTCAAAGAAAAATAAAAGGTCCCTAGGAAATTACTTACATATTTGGCAGAAATATTTTGCATATATACATTTATTTCCTCTCTTGGGTCACTTAGTTACTAATTTGAAGATGTCAAGCATTCATTGAATCCCCTTAGGACAAAATACATGATTTTTTTCCATCATGGCAACATTGAGTTGATTCCATCGATTTTTGCTGTATATAAACAAACCAGAATTTGAAGTTCCTTGTTAATGAAGGGAATCATCATTATCAGAAAATCATTTTGTGTTTGATTGCACATGGCAGTATCCTAAGTTGTAGGGAAAGAGCTGCACCAGCATGTTTTATGCCCCTTTGAACCTCACATGAGAGTTTCCTGAGTGTCGGTCAGTTACGTTTATCTAGTGTAATCCATGACCCTTTGTCAGGAGCGAAGAGAAGTGCCTGGTACGCAGTGGCCTTGTGCAGCTCATGGATCGACTGTGTAGCTTGAGCAATCAGACCGAGTCCAGCTCCAGTGAGAAACAGACCAAGAAGCAGAAGGTGGCCACCATGGCCTGGGCTGCCTTCCAGGTGCTTGCCAACCGCTGTGTTGAGTGGGAAAAAGAGGAAGGTGAGATGCCAGACTCCTTTCTAGAGCTCACTGATTTCTTCTATTGGTGTGTTAGTTTATTGGTTTTTTTATGCTAAATGAAAGAGAGAAAGCCTCTATTAAATGACATGATCAGATGGGTTAAATCAGTGGATGATTTCATGAGAGACTTTTCCTCAGTGTGGTTTTATAAAAACTTACAGCATTACGATGAGACTGAATGATATCCCTGTACCCTGAAGGAGTACAGTAATCCCAGGAAATTGAGAAGATATTTTTTATTCTCTCCTTGTCAATACTGCTAGTAGTTTCCAAATATATTTTTTTAATTAAAAAAAATTTATTAGACACAAGGTCTGTCACCCAGGCTAGGGTACAGTGGTGCAATCATAGCTCACTGTAACCTCAACCTCCCTGGCTCAAATGATAAGAGATCCCCCGACCACAGCCTCCCAAGTAGGACTATAGGCGCACTCACCATGCCTAGCTAAGGTTTTTTGTTGTTGTTGTTTGTTTTTAGAGACAGGATCTTACTATGTTGCCCAGGTTGGTCTCAAACTCCTGGCCTCAAGCAGTCCTCGCGCCTTGGCGTTCAAAAAAACAAATATTTTTTGAAGTGGCTTTTCAGTTGCATTTTCAAGGTGATGTTTCCAAATTTTATTTTTAGTGACCAATCCAAATAAAAAGTAAACCTGGGCTGGGTGCAGTGACACGTGCCTATAGTCCCAGCCACTCAGAAGGCTGAAGTGGGAAGATTGCTTGAGCCAGGGAGGTCGAGGCTGCAGTGAGCTGTGATCGTGCCACTACACTCCCTGGGCAACAGAGCGAGACCCTGTTTCAAAAAAAAAAGTAAACTTGAAGGATAAATTTCCCAATAAGATTCCAGGCCTGTGTGTATAACTTGTTTATTTATCTGTTTATTTGTTCACGATGCATTTTAATGTCTTGAGAGTCTATTATATGCCAGGCAAAAGATAAATAAGGCATTATTCCTCCCTTTAAAAATATGGTCTGGCATAGGCTGGGTGCAGTGGCTCACGCCTGTAATCCCAGCACTTTGGGAGGCTGAGGAGGGCGGATCACCAGAGGTCAGGAGTTCGAGACCAGCCTGACCAACATGGAGAAACCCCATCTCTACTAAAAATACAAAATTAGCCGGGCATGGTGGCACATACCTGTAATCCCAGCTACTAGGGAGGGTGAGGCAGGAGAATCACTTGAACCTGGGAGGCGGAGGTTGCAGTGAACCAAGATCATGCCATTGCACTCCAGCCTGGGCAACAAGAGCAAAACTCCATCTCAAAAAAAAAAAAAAGGTCTGACAGGGAAATAGACCAATAAGCAAATACTTATAGTGTAATCAGTGCCACAACTGAGGTAGATAGGATGTGCAGTGGGAGTGTAGAGGTCCCAGAGACCAGCTGTGCTAGGGATCCAGCAAAGCTTCCCAGAGAAGGTGACACGGGAGTTACTCTTGAAGGAAGGAGAATACTTTCGAGCAGAACAAACAGCGTGTGTAGACTCAGCGATCTAAAAGAGCATGGAAAGTTCAGGAAACAACAAATACTTTTTCATAACTTTTACATGCTTGGGAGGTTCTGGAACTATGGTAAACATGGAAGAATCCAGAAAGGTCTTTTATTGTGTTTGGGAAAGTATGAGTTAAGAAATCAAGATGTTTTCATCACCGGTGAAGTAATGATTCTTCCCTATCAATCAAAGTATGTTCTTTGGTTATGTATGAATTAATCATATTCAATTTTCATTAATAGTAATGTCTACCCCCCACATTGAGTTATTTTTAAAATAACTATTATCCTTTTTATGTGTAGACATTATCTAATGAGGAGACACTATTAGATGGTTCATGAAACATTAAGCAAGATAAATGGACAGGGCTCGCCGCCCCCTCAGGCTCACCATGGCACCCTTAAGTTTTCACCAATCTCTTTTTTTCTTTCTTTAACTGTGAAGGTGGCTCCACAGAGGCTGTGCACTCAGGTCTGGCCCGGCAGGTGTCCAGCCTTCTCACTAACCATCTTGCCCGAGCCACAGAGTGCTGTGGCAACCAGGCTGCTGGGAATGACGCGCTCCAGGATGTCCTTAGTCTTCTCAATGATCTCTCAAGGTATGCAAGGTCCAGCCTGGAGCTCTGGGAGAAGCTGGCTTTCCTCTTGAACGATTGGGGTTTCTTTTGGTGGTGGTTGTCTTTTCAAAATAGCTAAATTACTAGGCCATTTTGACACACTCTTGCCTCAAAAAAATAATGGAGGATAAAGTCATTGAAACATAGTATTTAGTTCCAAAATATAAGGATTATTTAGGTGAATAGCTAAATCATAAAATAATATATCATCATTTGCTTTAATACCTTACTGACAGCAGCTGCTAACCTTTCCCATAGATGCAGTTGTATTCATTAACCAAAAATCTTACCCTCATTGTAGCAAGATTAAAGAGGAATGAGTCAGGGCCTGTAATTAACTCACTTTCTCATGCTGTGTCTTTAAAAGAAGATACTCTGTGCTGGTTATATACTCCCTGTGTGAGCCACGAGGCCCATAAAATATCCACATATGACTGACTGCATGTTATTTAGCTTTCTTGGAATATAACAGTTTTAGCTGTGGCAGATCCTAGAACATTGAAGCCTATGAAACACTGTATGATAGCTTTGGTCTTGAGGTACTCATTAAGAAAGAATAAATAACGTAAATTCCAAAGAGAACTATTTACAAGTTAATCTCTGTTCCCAGATCCAGTCATTCTCCCTAGCAATCATTTATTATAGAATGCTTCTCCCCTCTCCCTTAACCTGGTTTACCAGGATCCAAGCCCCCATTCTTTCTGTAACCTCAAGATGGTAGATAAGCTTCTGTAACTCATGGGAAATTGAGTCTTCACTCTGAAGGCTCCTGTGTATACATGTTAAATAAATTTGTATGTCTTTTTTCCCGTTAAAAAAATGAAAGAATAAATGACAAACTGAAAAGCTCTTAGTTTGAGTTTCTAAGTCTCAGTGCTCCATGAATCACTCTGAATTTAGGATCTCAAGTAAACATCAGAGATCAGAAAATATTCAAAAATCTTTCTTTTTAAGTATTAGTGTTGTTTGGTTTCATCAAATGTTTCCAAAATTCTTAATTCTTCACAGAAGCATAGTGCCACATTCATGATTCCTCGTGAAATCAGATTTCATTGGTTTGTTTCATTCAGAGAACTCTTGCTTCTGAATGTCTATAGATCAACATTTCTAGCACTGTGTACCTTTTCTTCCTTTTTTCCCAGGAGCCACATAGGTAAAGCCATCCTGAGCCAGCCAGCTTGTGTGTCCAAACTCCTCTCCCTGCTGCTTGACCAACGCCCGTCTCCAAAGCTAGTCCTTATTATTCTCCAGCTGTGCCGGGCGGCGCTGCCCCTGATGAGCGTAGAAGACTGTGGAAACGTGGAGCTCCCACCCTGGAGCTACTCTGTCCCCTCCTTAAACAGTGAGCAGGAGGATCCCAGCGACCCAGCTTCCAAGATCGCCTCCCTGCTCTTAGCAAAGCTGGCAGATTATGTGGTTCCAGGTGAGAAGCTCCTCAACAGGAGAGTAGCATGGCAGTGCAGCATTCCTGTGCCCAGTCAGGTCCCCCTTGCATCTGTGCTTCCTATGATGAAAGAGTGAGTGACAGAGAAGGGAGCGGGGACAGGAATAGAGAAGGGGGAAGAAAGATTCCAAATCCCAAACCATTATTTTTCATTTTAGCAGAGCCGCCAAAACAACACTGCAGTTTTCCTGAATGAGCTTTGTTTTTTGCTTAAAGGATGTCAGACAGTTCTTTCTCCAACCGCTTCTGAACCTGACACCACATTGACAAAAACCAGTCCCAAGAATTCCTTGAAAGGAGATAAAGATCCTGGAGAAGAGAGTGAGGCTGTGGATGGCAAGCTCTCGATATTTATCCACAAGCGGGAAGACCAGTCATCCCATGAAGTCCTCCAGCCATTGCTAAGGTGACCATAATGATTGTGATAGCTACACATCCTCAAGCACCACCCATGTCACAGGCACTGTGCTAAGTAAGCCCTGTACATGTATCGACTGCCTCGGCCCTCTTTACACCCCTTTCAGGTAGACACTGTCACTGTGATTCCTGTGGTGACACAGAAAGAAACTGAGGCAGAGCTGAAATGCAGATGTAGTCTTCTCTGACCATAGAACCCAAGCTCTGAACCACAACTTGGTACTGTCTCTCTAAGTGCAACTGAGAGCTAAAGCCATGTGGACGATGTATTATTGTCTATGGGAAGCCTCCAGTGTGACTTGGGCTTTGAGAAGGAATAATGCCATTTGATTTTTAGTTGTTGGCATCCTTCAGCTGTTGGTAAATTTAGGTAAACTCCAACTCATTGACTGTGAGTTGGAGAAACAAGAGACACTTTTTTAAATCTTTAATTAGTTGAAGTATGAAATGGTGTGATTACTCAAGAAGAAAGTAAAAATATAGTCATTGCCCAAATATTACAAACCTGCAGGGCTTTGTTAGTGGGATCCAGGGCAACAGGAAGGCTTGCCACATAGCACAGGGGAATTCAGAGCAGGTATTTATGTCTCAGATTGAAGAGGCCTCTCTTTACTTAAATGATCTGACGATGTTGTCATCCTCATAATTGAATCCCCTGTCTGCCATTATGGCAACTGAAAACACTAATGGGACCATGGTGTAAACTAAGCGGGATTATGGCAGGTCAGGGCTTATATGAGGAAATCTCCAAGAAACATTCCTGGACATTGCAATGCATCATTGTACAAATTTGATGAAAGATTTTTTTTGGAGAACCAAGTTCAGGAGGCAGGGGAAGAAGAACTATTAGAAAGGAACACTAATAAATTTTTTCTTAGCTCTTTTAAGAAAGTTTAATAGTTTGAAGTTGAAAATAGTTTAATAGCCTAAAAATAGTTTGAGATAGGTGAGATAGTTGAAAATAGGTGAAAGGTTGCTAAGAAAATAACAGATAATAAGAATTACAAATACCTTATTAAAAATATAAAAATATACCCAGGCTCACAAATAATTAAAGGAAAGGAATAAAAACAATAGTAATATATCATTTTTCATCTGTCAGACAAGTAAAATCAAGAAAGATTAGTAATACCCTTTATTGTCAAGGTGAGGGTAAATAAAGTCTCAAGTGTCCAGGGAGAAACACACAGGGTGTTCTTCACAGTTTTGTTTGAAAAAAACAAACAAAATAGGCCAGGCGCTGTGGCTCACGCCTGTAATCTTCCTTTCTAATAGATGTCATTCGCCAAGGGATCACATCTATGGTGTCGTTAAAGTTCCCTCTCCTTGGGGTTTAGATGATGTCCTCAGGCCCTGCTTTTGTTCTGGGTTCATGTCAGTTTTTCATTTTGTGCATTATTTTCATCTGGATTTCTAGATACCCTTACAACTCTAAAAACGCTGTTGTTTTGGGCCCTAAAGTGCTATAATTAAGCAGTAATAAATTATTTCCTTTTTGAAAAATTGAGTCTTAAATTGTGGATTTTAAAAGCTAGTGTTAGAGGTCCAGGCATGGTGGCTCATGCCTGTAATCCCAGTGCTTTAGGAGTCCAAGGCAGGAGGATGGCTTGAGCCCAGGAGTTCGAGACCAGCCTGGGCAACATAGTGAGATCCCATCTCTTCAAAAAATACAAAAATTAGGCAAGCATAGTGGCATGAACCTGTGGTCCCAGCTGTTTGGGAGGCTGAGGTGGGAGAATCACCTGAACCTAGGGAGATCGAGGCTGCAGTGAGCTGTGATCACGCCACTGCACTCCAGCCTGGGTGAAAGAGCAACACCCTGTCTCAAAAAAAAAAAAAAAAAAAAAAAAAGCTAATGTTAGTGTAAGCTAATGTTAGTGTATAATAGGGCCTCACCATGACTGGGTGACCCCATGGCATGCAGCCCACTTTTGGCAGTGCCTGTAAGGTGTGCTGTGTTCTCTGCCTGCCTTTTTTCAGTAGTTCAGAAGGACGGCCCTTCCGACTTGGTACTGGCGCCAACATGGAGAAAGTTGTGAAGATGGATCGAGACATGACCAAGGTAACCTCATGAGGTTAAAACGATGAAACCCGAAATTGTAGAGTATTTGTCATGCTTTAGATTTTCAGAACAAATTAAGAAAACAAAAAATTAGTTCAAGTTCCAACGAAGAGGCAAGGTGAGAAATTGAAGTCAGTGCCTTAACTGAGGCCATTTTAAAGAGAACTAGTTAAAGTCAGTTTGTCAAAATCAAAACTTTTAGTTTTGACCTAGAAATTTTTTCTTAGCTCTTTTAAGAAAGTTTAATAATTTGAAGTTGAAAATAGTTTAATAGCCTAAAAATAGTTTGAGATAGGTGAGATAGTTGAAAATAGGTGAAAGGTTGCTAAGAAAATAACAGATAATAAGAATTACAAATACCTTATTAAAAATATAAAAATATACCCAGGCTCACAAATAATTAAAGGAAAGGAATAAAAACAATAGTAATATATCATTTTTCATCTGTCAGACAAGTCAAGAAAGATTAGTAATACCCTTTATTGTCAAGGTGAGGGTAAATAAAGTCTCAAGTGTCCAGGGAGAGACACACAGGGTGTTCTTCACAGTTTTGTTTGAAAAAACAAACAAAATAGGCCAGGCACTGTGGCTCACGCCTGTAATCCCAGCACTTTGAGACACCAAGGCAGGTGGATCACCTGAGGTCAGGAGTTTGAGACTAGCCTGGCCAACATGGCAAAATCCTGTCTACTAAAAAATACAAAAATTAGCCAGACGTGGTGGCAGGCTCCTGTAATCCCAGCTACTTGGGAGGCTGAGGCAGGAGAATCGCTTGAACCTGGGAGGTGGAGGTTGCAGTGAGCCGAGATCGCACCACTGCACTCTAGTCTGGGCAACAGAGCAAGACTCAATCTCGAACAAAACAAAAACAGAAAATAGGATCCACATACTCATAAAGAGGGGATTGGTTAAAGAAATTATTACAGTCATATAATGAAATGCTGTGCAACTATGAAAAACAATGAGGTAGATCTCTGTGTATTGATGTGGAAGAGTCTCCGCGATACACTGATAACTGATAAAAGCAAAATGAAATGCAGTCTGTGTCGGGGCCCTGTGATACGTATGCCAGAATTTGCACAGAAGTTATCTAGATGACTAACCATTATCTCAGCCTGGATGAGGCCTGGGATGTCTATGGAAATTTTACTCTACATATAATATTTTATGTTTGAATTAAAAAAAAATGAGTGTGGATTGCTTTGGTAATTGAGGGGAAATAGACTTGAAAAATATAGTGCTGGGAAGACTGAAATGAATCTTCTCAGCGTCTTCAACCTCACCCCAGGGTGGCTGTTGCGAAGTGATTACAGAAGAGGCTGCAGCCGCCCTGCGGAAAGCCACCAAGTGGGCACAGTCAGGCCTCATCGTCAGCATTGGGCCACCTGTAGAGTCTATCAACCCAGAGACTGTGAGTGGACTATCCACAGGCGACAAAAAGAAAACTGCCCAAACTTCCATTTGCCGAGAGAGGAACTCGGAGCTTGCAAGGTAAACCTTCCACAGGTAGGAGCTGTCCACACTCATCTCAGGTTTACTTTATAATGGGTTTGTTTTTAGCTTTTTAATTTTCTACCATCCCCTTGACCTCTTGGAAATGAGGCCGCCATCTGCTGTAGTAGTTGCACTCAAGGTACAGCCTGGAGTACGTCGGGGAGTAATGACCATCCAGGTAGATCTGAGGTTGTCATGAAAGAATAGAGGGATGCTCCTGGCTGAGGGGACATTTATAGCCAGAGGATTCTTTTGAGTAGTATTAATAAACTCTGGTCTTGCTACCTTTATTTCTTGCAAATGGTACATCTCCACTGCCCCAACTGAACACAAACTTCTTTCTAGGAGCAGAAGCAGCAGTTAAGTGTTGCCTCTGTGAAGTTGGTTCGAGGTGTTTTGTGCTTGAAAGCCAGGAATAGTTGCAATGCAGTGTCTTTCCCTGATCCTCATGGCTTATAAATAAAGTTTGAGGTCCATTGTTTGAGGCAGTTCTTCAGATACCACAAAGAATATGACACAGTGATTTCTTCCTAATGATAATGTAGCTTCTTGTTTTCTCGGTCAATGGAATCCACTTTTTCTTGTATAAAAAGAAAAGGTTTTCCTCTGATGCTAACCCTGAAAGCCACTTCCCTGCAGTCTTAACCATCACTGGGCACTGACACTTTTTCCTGTTGACACTTGCAGGACTGATCCTGTGCGTCCCTTCATCAGTGGGCATGTGGCAAACAGCATGGCTGCAGAAGTGATCGCCTTGCTACATAGCTTGCTCATGGCACCTGAATCAAATGCTGCTCAAATATGGACCACAACAGCAGAGAAGGTTAGCGCAGTGTTGCTACTCAACTGAGAAAATAAGAAGTAAGCTAATTAGAATTAGAATCATACCCAGCAAGGGGCATTTCAGTAAAGAGAAATTTTCCAAATTCATCAGATACCTGTTAACTGACTTTCCCCTGGAAGTTGCTTTACTGTAGTACTTTCAACTCTGTTAACCTATATCACCTGTCACTCCCGGTTCTCATTTTGCAGACGATAGGACAGTATTCTCAGGGAAAGAGTGACAGGCCTTGTTTCTCTTCTTCTTGCTTATGTTAGATTGGTACTGACATTAGGAGATCATGCAGTGTTGGTTTATTGGATTTAAGTGTACTCACTAAGTCCAAGGAGGCCTCTGCGTGATTTACACTGCCTGAGTGCCCTGTCAGTAAGTGATTCATCATTACAAACAGTAGTCCAGTTGCCTGAAACTACGGATCTGTAAGCAATTCCCCCTTTCCACAGCCACTCTTCAAATGAACCCCTTATGACATGTCCTGAAGGTAACTGAGTGTTGCCAAGTGGACAGTATGCTGGGATGGTTTTCCTTCAGATAAATGATTGTTTCATTTTAGAGGTTTTAGTGACATGATGTTTGATTCTCCCAGTTGTGTATTTCCAATTTTGTCCAGTTACATAGACAAATATGGGCAGATGTCATTGGCCATACCTGATAGTTTTTTGGTCCCTCACATGTCCAGAGTTCCTTCAATACATGGGACCCAGGCACTGTTGTAGACACTTTATCACCCTTGGCATCAAAACAACCAAAGCTTTAACTCCTAGTGCACGGGCTGCTTCTATATTTAGGTTCTGTCTAGAGCACTGATGTACATTCCACAATTGGGGAAATACGCAGAAAGCATTCTGGAAAATGGCAGCAGCAGTGGCAGGAAACTTGCCAAACTTCAGAGAATTGCACGCCAGGCCGTTGCCGCACTGTGTGCACTTGGAGGCTTCAAAGAGACAATCAAGATAGGATCCGAGGTTCAGGTACCAACCACCATGTTCCCCAAATCATTGCTTCCCCCATATATATAAGCATCCATTAATTAATTGATCATCTGTAAGACAAGTATTATCCAACCAGCTGTACAAAAAAACCTGTTTCTTCAAGCTAAATAAGGAATCTGAGAAATTCTTGAATTCAAATCCACACTGTGCCACACATTATTCAGATATTAATGCAATACTGTCTTAGGTTAACTACAATACTTGTGTCCTGTAGTGTGATCAGTATCAGTCTTAGAATTGATGATGGAATTAGAATGGAAGGAAAACAGTGTTTTCCTGCAAATATTTATTTACCATTAAACAGCAGTAACAAGTTTGTTTGTTTGTTTGTTTGTTTGTTTGTTTGTTTTGAGACAGAGTCTTGCTCTGTTCCCCAGGCTGAAGTGCAATGGTGCAATCTCAGCTCACTGCAACCTCTGTCTCCCGGGTTCAAATGATTCTCCTGCCTCAGCCTCCCAAGTAGCTGGGATTACAGGTGCCCACCACCTTGCCTGGCTAGTTTTTGTATTTTTAATAGAGATGGGATTTCATCAGGCTGGCCAGGCTGGTCTCGAACTCCTGACCTCAAGTGATCCACCTGCCTCAACCTCCCAAAATGCTGTGATTACAGGCATGAGCCACCACACCTGGCCTAGCAGTAACGAGTTTCTATTTGAGATGACAGCATGTTGTGATCACCTTGCAGTTAGGTTTTAGGGCCTATTATAAGTCATGTCTAGGGCTTGGTATCTGCTACCCTAGTAGTATAAACTATTACTGTAACGCCAACAATGACAACTATAAATTTACTTTTTCCTCTTGTCTCGTAAGACAGCTGCCCACACGTCAGAGCTGGTTGGTAGTGCTAATCTATGTCTGTCTCCAGGTTTTAGGTAGAGGAATTTCAGGAAGCATTGGAGTAGTGGCTTCTATCAATGAACAGGAAGGTATAGCTACAGTCAGATTCCCACCCATAGACTGTAGAAAGACTTCGCAAGCGTCAGACACATTGACTATTCCATTGTCTAGACTTTGTGTTCCAAGATCAGAGGTAAGGTGATTTTTAAATGCTTTGTAAAATGTCTGCCAATGGTAACTGTACTGTAATGAGTCTATGCACATGCTCAGTGCAGAAGCACAAATGCTTGATTATCTTAAATTGTACTTGTGATGTATATTTATGTATTGGTTATAGTTATTTAATAGTAATGCTTATGTGAAAATTTTCATCTAGATGACCAAATTCATTTCTTTGTTGGTTAGGGCTCTTCTACAATGTATTTTTAATTGTTTTGATGTGGTTTGTAGTTTTCTGTATGGTGATTTTATTTTTTTAACTGAAAATTTAAGAATTAACTCCAGATAATAATAACACCCTCATTTCTTATAAACTAACTACTTGAATTTAACTTTTTGCCATGCCCCCCCACCGCCATCAGGCATTGCCTCTTCATAAACTGTCCATTACTGAGAAGGTAGTACAGGCAGTCCAGTCCATGTTGCTTCCTCAGGAGGGAAGTCTCTCTATTCACACCTCACTTCCTGCAACAGGAGATGGGTCAGCTCCTGTGATGGCAGTCGTTCGGCTCCTTGCTGAAATAAGGACAAGGTGAGTACCCTCCCCACATTGCCTTATGTGCTGACATGGTGCAAGCTGACAGAAGAAGGGATCCTTGGTGGGCCCCTCCACTCCCAACTTAGTGAATCCACAGCTTGAAGCTCACACTAAACTGAGCAACAGTAACCATTCTTTTACAGTTTTTACCATAGTTCGTTGCATTCCTTAATTTCTTCAATTTTTGTTGCGTTCCCCAATGTCTACACTTCAAAATAAAGTTTAGCATACAAATGAAATGTGATGTATGAAACACATACATAAGGCTCCACTGATTTGCTTTGTTAAAAGAACTCTGTTCCATCACAGGAATAACTCTACTACCTTGAGGCAGGAGAATCGCTTGAACTCGGGAGGCAGAGGTTGCAGTGAGCCGAGATGGTGCCACTACACTCCAGCCTGGGCAACAAGAGCGAAACTCCATCTCAAATAAATAATTAAATAAATAAAATGGTTCAGGCCACATTGATACATATCTGGCCTATCACTTTCCAAACTGATGATGGGAAAACTAGGACATGCACACAGGGGTTGGTGTTGGTCTTTTCCTGCAAATACATTTATTTAGCGTTAAACAGCAGTAACAGGTGTCTCTTTTTGACAATGAAACTTCTTTTTTTTTGGACACAGAGTCTTGCTGTGTCACCCAGGCTGGAGTGCAGTGGCATGATCTCAGCTCACTGCAACCTCTGCCTCCCTAGTTCAAGCGATTCTCCTGCCTCAGCCTCCTGAGTAGCTGGGATTACAGGCGCATACCACCACTCCTGGCTAATTTTTATATTTTTAGTAGAGATGGGGTCTCGCCATGTTGGCCAGGCTGGTCTGAAACTCCTGACCTCTGGTGATCCACCTGCGTTGGTCTCCCAAATTGCTGGGATTACAGGCGTGAGCCACCATGCCCGGCCAACAATGACACTTCTTAGAAACGTCTAGTGTGTATTTTGAATCAGGTGAGAGCGATCGCCATACAGATTTTCCCACTTTTTGAATCCCTCTTGCTTCCCTAGGGCAAAGTTAGGAAAAGCTTTTAAGAGACAGTGCTGATTTCTCACCTGGCACTTTGTATCTCCATTTAGTGGTGATGGCAACCATTTTTCTCTTTTCCAATTCTTCATGCAGTGTCAGCAGTTACTGTGTGGCAAAAGAGAAGTTATTTATATATTTCCAAGACAGTCCAGCTCAGAAAAAAAAAGCAAGATGAGTGGGGTGTTTGAACCTTGTTGTAAACTGGGGGGCAAAATTGATTGAAATGTTTTTCACAGTTGACTTTTTTAGACAATGAACACTGATGACTTTGAAATATTGTAAATCTTTTAACATTAAGAGCATGCCTGGTCATGGCCCAGCTTTTAGAAGACAGCTTATTTTGTGAAGAATTCATACAACAATGTCCAGCAGCTGTTGAAGTTCTTAACCTAGTAGCCCAGGAATGTAGTGCTGGTGAGTACCTGAACTTGCCTTACCACCCTGTTTTATTGAATTTTCTCAGCACATTTGCAATTTGATAATGGTATGTTAAGTGTCTTCATACACACACATCAAAACAGCCGAGCTGTAAGGACAACACCTGTCACAACTCACGTGCATCACAGACCTAGAAATGTAAATAAAAAGCTTTTAATCTACACCAGTTAGGAAATCAGCATTTTTCAATTAACTTTAGGACCATGTCAGAGTGTTTTCTTTTCTTCATTCCTATTGATTTGTTGCCTTTATTTACCTATTAGAACTATAATATTTAGGAGCTGTCCTTAGGGCTGGCATGTACATTTTGACTGTTGTCATTGGCTACATTTGAATTCCCAGTCAAGAGTTTGCACTAACATCCATCCTTGCATGTGTGTGTGTGAGTGTGTGTGTGAGTGTGTGTGTGAGTGTGTGTGTGTGTGTATGGAAAAGTCCAAATACCAAAATTGAGAGACTAGTATAATGAACCTTCAGGATTCCATTATCCAGTTTCAACAGTTGTCTACTCATAACTGATCCTGTTTTATCTGTGCTGCAACCCCTGGAATTATTTTTAATCCTAGATATTATTTTATTCATAAGTATTTTAGTTTACGTCTCTGAAAAATAAAGAATCTTAAATAACTACAACACCATTATCACCTATCTAAATTATTAACAGTAATTTTTAAATATTATTAAGTATCTAAGCTGGGCATGGCAGCATGTGCCTGTAATCCCAGCTACTTGGGAAGCTGAGGCAGGAGGATCGCTTGAGCCCAGGCGTTTGAATGCAGCCTGGGCAACATAGTGAGACCCTGTCTCTAAAAATATGTGTATATACATATCTAGTCAGTGTTTAACTTCCTAATTTTCCCATAAAGATCATCCTTGTTTTTATATTTATTTATTTGAATGAGGATCCAAATAAAGTTTACAAATTGTTACTTTGTTGCTGTGTCTTTTTAATCTATTTTAAAATATAGATTCCTCTTAGTCTTTTTTTTTTTTTTTTTGCCTTACAATTTGTTTGTGGAAGGTTTCCCAGTCTGGATTTTGATGACTGTATCCCTGTGGTGTCATTTACCATGTTCATTTGCCGTTTTGTTTCCTGTAAATTGGTAGTTGGCCTGGTTAAATGAAAATTTATCTTTTGTCCCCAAGGATATAACTGGACCCTAAGTGAAATTGTTCACAATTCAATTAACATTCCTCCAATGCTAACATTTTCACAAACTACATGTTAGAAATGGACGGCTTTAAATCCCTTAGTGCTTGTAGGTTCATCCTCTTTTTTTTTTTTTTTTTTGGTCTTTTAAAAAGTCTGTATTACTTTTTCTCATGCCGTTTATTTTGTCAGTAACTCTCTAATACCTTTTCTGTTTGTAGTTTTTGTTACTCTTTCACATTGTGGTCATTTCTGTTGTTTTCTTTTTATTTTTAAATTTGTCTGTATCCGTTTTACTTCTCACATCTCTTTCTTTTGATAAGGGTAGTGCCTTGGATTCAGCAGAAGCTCCAGCTGGGAGATCCAGGAACCATTAATAAACCTCAGAGAGATGCTAAGAATAGAGAACAAGAACAGAAGCAAGGGGTGTGCTAGGCGTCAAGGGTGAAATTACTTGTGACTTCGTTTTGTACTCTTAGTAGGTCCTTAGTTCACTGCCTCTGACTTTTTTTATATTGTTGGCTTAGATTGCATTCGAAGACATATTTTGACTGATTATAGCAGCATATAACATGCTGAATTAATCACTTGCTTTTCTATGGGACTGTTTCTGGGTATCCTCTTATATATTTTATAGAATAAAGAGGTCTTAATTGTGAAATTTACATTGATACTTAATGCATAAGGTAGGATTTGTAATAATTTAGAGCAGTGGTCTCACATGATTTTGATCATAGTCCACCTAACCTATTTTTCCTAGTGGAAAACCACTTTGTGGTAACAAAGAGTTGCAAAGAAATGTATGGGAAGTGCTTGTTAATTACTACAAAAGAGAAGACTATGAGCTTATGCGTATTGATTTGTATTCTAAATAGTATCCTATGTAAAGTTGAAGAATCCTTGGGCCGGGCGCGGTGGCTCATGCCTGTAATCCTAGCACTTTGGGAGGCCGAGGCAGGCAGATCATGAGGTCAGGAGATGGAGACCATCCTGGCTAACACGGTGAAACCCCGTCTCCACTAAAAATACAAAAAATTAGCCAGGCGTGGTGGCGGGCACCTGTAGTCCCAGCTACTCGGGAGGCTGAGGCAGGAGAATGGCGTGAACCCCGGGAGGTGGAGCTTGCAGTGAGCCGAGATCATGCCACTGCACTCCAGCCTGGGCAACAGAGCGAGACTCCATCTCAAAAAAAAAAAAAAAGAATCCTTAATAACTCACTTATTAGGTTACCAGAAATGGTTCTGACATTTGAAGTAAATGGCAAAGTTTACTGACTCCTATGTCAGTTAGTGATAAAAACCAAAGGGAAAAACCTACATTCCGGGTTACTTTGCAGAACAGTGGTAGATTCTTAGGCCTACAAGGGAGGCATAGACTATACTCAGGAGAAAAGCTGTTTAATAAATAAGATTCAAGGTGAGGAGTAGGTAGAAAAGACAGAGTTATTTGATTTTCATTTTTTAAGGTATTAAAATTTTTTACTTTATATATGAAAATGTCATGAAATTTATAAGCAATAATGTATTGATACTCAAATTTTTAAAAATTTTTAAATTTTAAAATATTTAATCAACTTCTATTATTTTTCCTCTTCTGGGATGAATTAAGTGGCAAACTTGGCCATTCTAATATTTACTCACTGATAGCCAAATTTTATAGCGTCTCTATCTAAAGAAGACAGTACCAGATTCCATTTGATCTAGGGAGATAGCACTACAAAACTTTTTTCCTTGAAAAAATATTCCTGAAGGCCGGACGTGGTGGCTCACGCCTGTAATCCCAGCACTTTGGGAGGCCAAGGTGGGCAGATCACTTGAGGTTAGCAGTTTGAGAACAGCCTGGCCAATATGGTGAAGCCCTGTCTCTACTCAGAATACAAAAATTAGCCAGATATGGTGGGGTGTGCCTGTAATCCCAGCTACTTGGGAGGCTGAGGCATAAGAATCAGTTGATCCCAGGAGGTGGAGGTTGCCATGAGCTGAGATCGTGCCACTGCACTCCAGCCTGGGAGACAGAGCAAGACTCTGTCTAAAAAGAAGAAAGAAAGAAAAAAAGAAATATTCCTGAGACATTAACTGGATCCCTTGGTTGAAACAGCAGAGGAAGCAGATTTTTGAACCTGAAGAAAAGGCACATAGAAACCAAAAAAGTTCTCAACATTATTTTACCCCCTTGCAGAAGCTAGAATCTCCCAGTTTCAGCTGTTTTCTCTTCTCCCAGCTTCCTAATGTACTTACTCCCTGAGCCAGATATTCTCCAACTTTGGAAGTTCCTCAGAACTCCTGGGAAGCATGATTACAAAGTCAGAATTGTAAGTAGAGGGTGGTCCCAGACAGCAGGCTACCGGAACCATCAGACCTCACTGGAAGAAACAGGGCTCCAAGATTCACCCTGACCCTCCTTACTTTTACCTACCCTTCTCCTGAGCTTTCCTGGCTTCTACACTGAGCAATCCCTCAGCTGAGATCCAGGCTTAGCAGCTACTTCTTTAAAAATATCCCCCTCCCCAGCCTCATGAATGCACCAAATTGATAACCAAAGTCATTCCTTACTCTGGAATCAGCTCTCCTTCCCGAGTTCCCTGTTTTACTTAATATTCAGACTAATTTTGTTTTTGCTTTTGTTTTTGTTTTTTGAGACAGGGTTTCGCTCTGTCACCCAGGCTGGAGTGCAGTGTTGCGATCAAGGCTCACTGCAGCCACAACCTTCTGGGCTCAGGCAATCCTCTTGCTTCAGCCTCCTGAGTAGCTGGGACCACAGGTGCACACCACCATGCCCGGCTAATTTTTTGTTTGTTTTTAAAAGACAGAGTCTCACTCTGTTGCCCAGGCTGGAGTGCGGTGGCACGATCTTAGCTCACTACAATCTCTGCCTCCCAGGTTCAGGTGATTCTCCTGCCTCAGCCTACCGAGTAGCTAGGAATACAGGTGCCTGCCACCACACGTGGATAATTTTTGCATTTTTAGTAGAGACAGGGTTTTACCATGTTGGACAGGCTGTTCTCAAACTCCTGACCTCAAGTGATCCGCCCACTTCAACCTCCCAAAGTGCTGGGATTACAGGTATGAGCCACCACACCCAGTGTAATTTTTTTAATTATTAGAAAAATGAGGGCCAGGTGCTGTGGCTCACGCCTGTAATTTCAGCACTTTGAGAGGCCGAGGTAGGTGGATTACCTGAGGTCAGGGGTTCCAGACCAGCCTGTCCAACTTGGTGAAACCCCATCTCTACTTAAAATACAAAAATTAGGCCAGGTGCAATGGCTCACGCCTGTAATCTCAGCACTTTGGGAGGCCAAGGCAGGCGGATCATGAGGTCAGGAGTTCAAGACTGCCTGGCCAAGATAGTGAAACCCCGTCTCTACTAAAAATACAAAAATTAGCCGGGTGTGGTGGCACGCACCTGTAGTCCCAGCTACTCAGGTGGCTGAGGCAGAAGAATCACTTGAACCCAGGAGGCAGAGGTTGCAGTGAGCCGAGATCACACCACTGCACTCCAGCCTGGGTGACACAGTGAGACTCCGTCTCAAAAAAAAAAAAAAGAAAAATCAGCCGAGCATGGGGGCGAGTGCCTGTAATCCCAGCTACTCAGGAGGCTGAGGCAGGAGAATCGCTTGAACCCAGGAGGCAGAGGTTGTAGTGAGCCGAGATCATGCCGTTGCACTCCAGCCTGGTTGACAGAGCGAGACTCCATCTCAAAAAAAAAAAAAAGAAAAGAAAAAGAAAAACAAGAGACAGCGTCTCCCTATGTTGCCTCTGGGCTCAAGTGATCTTCCCTCCTTAGCCTCCCAAAGTGCTAGGATTACAGGCATGAGAAACCGCACCAGGTTAGTTTTGATGCCCAGATACTGAGTCAAGTATAATGCCTCTTCTTTGTCCCTTCACATCCAATCACTTGCCATATCCAGTTCTTCCTTTAAAATGCTCCTGAGGCTGGGCACAGTGGCTCACATCTGTAATCCCAGCACTTTGAGAGGCCAAGGCAGGCGGAATGCTTGAGCCCAAAAGTTTGAGACCAGCCTGGGCAAAATGGAGGAAACTCCCTATCTACAAAAAAGCCAGGCATGGTGGTAGATACTTGTAGTCCCAGCTACTCGGGAGGCTGAGGTGGGAAGATCACCTGAGTCCAGGAAGTCAGGGCTGCAGTGAGCTGTGATTGCACCACTGCCCTCCAGCCTGAGAGACAGAGTGAGACCCTGTCTCAATAAAATAAAATAAAATGCTCCTGAAATTTATCCCTTTCCTGCCCGTTTTCACTACCAACACTTTAAAACAGGTGCTTTTTTTTAATTGTAATTTTTATATGCTGGGCAACATAGCAAGACCCTGTCTCTACAAAAAATACAAAAAATTAGCCAAGTGTGGTGGCTCACGCCTGTGGTCCCACCTGCTTGGGAGGCTGAGGTGGGAGGATCACTTGAGCCTGGGAAGCAGAGGTTGCAGTGAGCCGAGATTGCGCCATTGCACTCCAGCCTGGGCAACAGAGCGAGAGACCTTGTCTCAAAAAAATAAAAATTTGTAGAGACGGGGTCTCACTATGTCTCCCAGGCTGGTCTCAAACTCCTGGGCTTAAGCAGTCCTCCTGCCTCAGCCTCCCGAAGTGCTGGAATTACAGGCATGCACCACCATGCAGGGCCAGGGCAGGTGCTTCTTATCTCTTGTTTATTTATTTAGAGACAGAGTCTCACTCTGTCACCCAGGCTGGAATGCAGTGGCATGATGTCAGCTCACTGCAACCTCTGCCTCCTGGGTTCAAGCGATTATCATGCCTCACCCTCCCGAGTAGCTGGGATTACAAGCATGTGCCACCATGCCTGGCTAATTTTTGTATTTTTTGTAGACATGGTGGTTTGCTGTGTTGGCCAGGCTGGTTTTGAACTTCTGGCCTCAAGTGATCCGTCTGCCTCAGCCTCCCAAAGTGCTGGGATTACAGGCATGAGCCACCGCACCTGGCTTTCTTAAGATCTAACTTAATGATGTTTTCATTAAGCCTTTCTGGATGCTCGAATGAAGTCACTGCTCATTCACCTGTGCCTCTGCTTGTACCTTATATTACATAATCACATACTGCAGCCCAGCACTGTGCTCTTTACTGTGTGTGTGTGCCTGTGTGTGGTCTGCGTGTGTGCGCATCTTATTTTCCCTCCATAGTAGGGGCTTTGGCTCATATATCTTTGTGTTCTCCAACACTTCGCAGTGTGCCTTGCTCATAGCAGGTGCTCCATAGATATTAGATTTTTAAAAATTAATTTAGGTGATAAGAATAATAGTCTTCATTTATTAGATGATGAGAATAACAACACATTTATTGAATGCCTGTGCTAGGGACTTAGCCAAGGGCTTTACTTAAGTTATTTCATCACATCTTCACAACAGCCCTGTGAGACACAGGTGCTGTTGTTACCCAGTATTGCAAGTGAGATGATAAATACTGAGTACTGGGGCCAGGTTCTGAATCCAGGAGTTGGACTGCACCAGAGGCTAAGCACTTGCCCTCATTGTTGTGATGCTGGGCTACGTTATGGAAGACAAAGATGTCTCGGGGTATTTGTTGTTTTATAAGAATTTCAGGCTGGGCGCGGTGGCTCAAGCCTGTAATCCCAGCACTTTGGGAGGCTGAGGCAGGCGGATCACCTGAGGTCAGGAGTTCGAGACCAGCCTGGCCAACATGGTGAAACCCTGTCTCTACTAAAAATACAAAAATTAACCGGGCGCGGTGGCATGTGCCTGTAATCCCAGCTACTTGGGAGGCTAAGGCAGGAGAATCTCTTGAACCCAGGAGGCAGAGGTTGCAGTAAGCCAGGACCGCGCCACTGCACTCCAGCCTGGGCAATAGAACGAAACTCTGTCTCAAAAAAAAAAAAAAATTCAATGAGCTCTATAAGTGCATTTTATTGTTTTGATGCTGCTCCAAAAGAGTCAGCACCCACTTGGGAGTTGCGGGAGTTGTTTTCACAGATTCAACATGTGCCCTCTACAGGAGAGCGACTTGCAGTTGTGGAGGTACAGTGTGAACGGCTGAGGATGCTCTACCGGGACTGTGCTCGGCCCCCACCACCTCCTTTGCAGGCTGACCGAAGACAGGTGAGCCCTCTGCGGTGCTTCGCGCCTCCTGCAGCCTCCACACACATCACTGAGTAAGGCCAGCAGCAAGTTAAGGACATTTAGAATAAGTGTTTGCAAAGCCGTTTGGAGGTGCATTCTTTTGCAGTGACATGCCCTCTTTGCGGTGCCATGCTCTCATCTTTGAATGTCAGAGCAAATTGAGCTGACATTCTGAATATTGGAAAATTATAGCAGGGGAGCGAAACTTCATAATTTATAAATAGCTTCTTTGTGCTGTCAATAACAAAAAGAAAGCTTTTTTTTTTTAAGTTTAGAGATACAGTCAGTTTCATAACAGAGAACATAAGTGAGTAATTAAAAAACAAAAGTGGGCTGGGCATGGTGGCTCACGCCTGTAATCCCAACATTTTGAGAGGCCATGCTGGGCAGATCACATGAGGCCGGAAGTTTGAGACCAGCCTGGCCAACATGTTGAAACCCATCTCTACTAAAAATACTAAAATTAGCTGGGCATGGTGGTGCACATCAGTAATCCCAGCTACTTGGGAGGCTGAGGCAGGAGAATCGCTTCAACCTGGGAGGTAGAGGTTGCAGTAAGCTGAGATTGTGCCACTGCACTCCAGCCTGGGTGACAGAGCAAGACTCTGTCCAAAAAAAAAAGAGGGGCAAAATGTTAAAAATTGGTACATCTATTAATGTTCTTAGCAGCATTATTCACAACAGCCAAAAAGTGGAAACTGCAAATATACATCAACTGATGAATAAATAAAATATGCAATAGCCATGTAATGGAATATCATTTGTTCATAAAAAGGAATGAGGTATTGATATATGCTACAACATGAATGAACTTGAAATTACAGTAAGTGAAAGAAGCCAGACACAAAAGACCACATCTTATATAAATTCCATTTATATGAAATGTCTAGTGCAGGTAAATCCATAGACATAGAAAATAGATTAGTGATTGCCAGGAGCTGTGGGGGCAAAGGAGAGTTAAGGGAAGAGAGGAACGGCGATTGACTACTAAAGGGTATGGAATTTCCTTCAGTAGGGACAAAAATGTTCTAAAATTAGATCACGATAATGGTTGCACAACTCTGTGAATATATTAAAAACCATTGACTTACCCCATAAATATATACACCTACCATGTACCCATAAATATTAAAAATCAAAACAAAACATTGACTTATACACTTCAAATGGGTGAATTGTGTGTTATATGAATTTTTTTTTTTTTTTTGAAATGGAGTCTCACTCTGTCACCCAGGCTGGAGTGCAGTGGCCTGATCTTAGCTCACTGCAACCTCCACCTCCCGGGTTCAACTGATTCTCCTACCTCAGCCTCCTGAGTAGCTGGGATTCTGCAGCCTGGATGACAGAATGAGACTGTCTCAAAAAATAAAAAAATAATAATAAATTTTTTAAAAGTTGCTTTTATCTGATAGAGAAGCTTGAGATTTTTATGATTAGAATGATTAAAAATAAAACTGAGAAAGCAAGACAACTAACCTTTAAAAAAAGAAAAAGGAAGTGTCACCATGGTTCCCCTGCTTAGCCTTGAGCTGAATATTAAGTCATGCATTTATAAATTGTACTAAAATTTGTTCAGTAACTACATGGGGGCTATAAGAGGATGGGGACCAGACCTTGGAATTGATGATAATGGAAGATAAATAGTGTCTTAAAGGGATAGTAAAAATTTTATTTGGAAAAAAGATACACTTTTTAAAAAATATATGTGCCTGGCTGGGCATGGCGGCTCACGCCTATAATCCTAGCACTTTGGAAGGCCAAGACAGACAGATAGCTTGAGCCCAGGAGTTTGAGATCAGCCTGGGCAATATAGCAAGATCTCATCTTTACAAAAAATACAAAAATTAGCTGGGTGTGGTGATGCACACCTGTAGTCCCAGCTACTGGGGAGGCTGAAGCAAGAGGACCACTTGAGCCCAGGAGCTTGAGGCTGCAGCGAGCTATGATTGCACCACTGCACTCCAGTCTGGGTGATAGGAGTGAGACTCTGTCTCTAAATAAATAAATTGTGTGTGTGTGTGTGTGTGTATGTGTGTGTGTGTGTGTATGTGTGTGTGTGTGTGTATGCCTATATTTTAATACCATCAGATAAAATTTTTTTCTTCTTTGAGAGAGTAAAGGGATTGTGTTTGCAGTTCTACTGAATATGGGTTTTTCTCCCTGATGCAGCCCAAAGAGATTACTTGGAGCCCCTCGCGAGTGTTTCCGCCTGTTCGAGCCTGCATGTTCTCATCTCACCTTACCTCAGTCACCTTCCTGGCTGACCCCAGCGCTGGGGGAGGCCTGCCCCGGGGCACTTTTATCTATGCCACTTCACCACTGCCAGTTCAGGTGAGACATCACATGACACACTGTCTTTTGCATCTTCAGATTTGAAAGAAAAAGCAGGTCTCAGGCCCAGGATTAGCCCTCTGATTGCTGCTCTCTTCTGGCATCTCTTCAGGCCCCGTCTTTTTACTGGGAAATTGAAATCGTTTCCTATGGAGACACCGATGATGACACCGGACCCATAGTTTCCTTTGGCTTCACTACAGAAGCAGAGAAGCGAGATGGGGCTTGGACTAATCCAGTGGGCACTTGTCTTTTCCATAAGTAAGTAAAAGAAGTAGCTCAGTGTGACAGAGAGCAGTAGCCTCCCACAAGGTGTGTATAGGTGTTCAGGAAGTCAAAATAGAGTTCTGTCTTCAAGTGAGTTTGGGGAAAGGAGAGCATTATTTTTCCTTTCTGGAGATTTCCAGTGCACATTAGTAAGATTCCTTCCTAGTTGACCTGTAATTTTTTAAAAATCTGTTTATTTTGCAAATTCTATAACCCTTTATTCTAGGAATACAGTTTGGGAAATATTGGTGTGGGTATTTTAATACTAAAGTGATACTATAATAATCTCACAATGCTGACCACCCCCCCTCCACTTCACCACTTCCCTGTTTGTGTGTTGGCCAGTGAGGCTTATCTTTCTTGTCTTTGACCTCCCTTCTTTGTATTTTTCATAGCAACGGCCGAGCCGTGCACTATAATGGCTCCAGTTTGTTACAGTGGAAGAGCGTTCGCTTAGACGTGACTCTCTCCCCCGGTGAGTGCAGTGGGAGCTTTTCCACCCTGTGTGATTCTGTTGGTCTCAGGTTTGGGTCTAAACAGGTTAAAGTTGAATAAATTTAGCAATTGGAAATGGGCAGTTTGTCATTTAGCAAAAACCAAACACGTCCTTGCTGCCCCCTAGTTTACACCAAACCCCTCACTTTATGAGCCCTCGCCATTAGAGCCTCCATTTGGTAACTCCAGAGTTACGTGTACTTTTGTGCCTTAGTCATTAGATAATTCAGAGATTTTGCTTCTATCTGAAGTTTAGTCTTTCATTAATGAGCAGATAAATAGCTTCAAAAAAAGAGAACTCCACCTCTAGCTGTGAGGCACTGGAGAAGTGCCTTATTGGGCCAGGCACAGTGGCTCACGCCTATAATTCCAGCATTTGGGGAGGCTGAGGCAAGAGGATCACTTGAGCCCAGGAGTTCAAGACCACCCTGGGCAACATGGCGAAACCCCATCACTACAAAAAATACAAAAATTAGTGGTGGCGCATGCCTGTGGTCCCAGCTACTCGAGAGGCTGAGGCAAGAAAATCACTTGAACCCAGAAGGTTGAGGCTGCAGTGAGTTGTGATCATACCACTACACTCCAGCCTGGGTGACAGAGTGAGACCCTATCTCAAAAAACAGAGAGAGAGAGAAATGCCTTATTGGTAGATACAGCCTATAAACATCTGGTCAAGCTTTGACAAATGTTCTGCCTCTATGTTTCAGTCACATAGACAGTCAACTCAATAAAGAACCCTTTCCTCCTTCTTTTTAGTCTCCATGTAAATAACTAGATCTGTATAGTAGTTGAATTAGGATTGGCCCTACGTACTCCAGCTATAGCAAAAAAACAGAACTGTCCTGCTGACATTCGAAGCAGCCGAATATGTTGGTTACTTATTTTTAGACAATGCATCTTAGGCTTCATCTATAATAGAACTTAAATTGAGATACATAGTAAACAATCTGGGATGATGAGATGGGGAATATGAAGTCACTCCAATAGGTAGCCTCTTGTAGCTGCCTGGAGGTTACTTTTGCCATCACTTGTCCTTAAGGGGGCTGCTTGTTAAATTACACTTTTCCTGGGAGCACAGTGCGGTTTTTTTGTGTTTTTTGTTTGTTTGTTTGTTCTTTTGAAGTGGAGTCTTGCTCTGTCACTCAGGCTGGAGTGCAGTGGTGCAATCTCAACTCACTGCAACCTCCGCCTCCTGGGCTCAAGCAATTCTCCTGCCGTAGCCTCCCAAATAGCTGGGATTACAGGTGCCTGCCACCATGCCCAGCTAATTTTTGTATTTTAGTAGAGACGGGGTTTCACCATGCTGGCCAGGCTGGTCTCAAACTTCTGATCTCAAGTAATCTCCCTGCCTAAGCCTCCCAAAGTGCTGGGCTCTCAGGTGTGAGCCACCACACCCGGCCCCTGGCAGCATAGTGTTTTTACTCAAGCCAAGTCATACTATGACTTGGAAATCATTTCAGGGCAAAGTAAAAATTTTTCTCTTACTTCACAAAGCATAACTCAGACATCTCAGCAGAGTACTTACCTAAGTGCTTTCAGCACAAAAGGGTGTATGTCAGGGGGTGGGTGGTAGGCTGGGGGAGCGTTTTCAGTGTTTTTATTTCCTTGTTGCTGTATTTGTTGTTTTATCAGTTGTGGTTTTTGAGAACATTTAGGACTGGACTACGGGCACACAGACTACCCTCTTTCTAGAGAAATGTGTCTGCAAAGGAATAGGAATTAGAACCCAATCTGTCTAACAGAATCTCAACCCCTCTACCAATACATGGGCTTCCATTCATCAACAGATACTTGCTGAGCATCTCCTACCTGCTAGACCCTCTTCTGGCCCCTGGGGATGCCGTGGCGAACAATGACAAGTCCCCAGCCACTGGGAAGCTCCCATTCCTGTGGTACCTAAGCCATAGGAGACTCTGTGATCAAAACAGAACCTTAGAACTTCATGCACTTACTGGAGAGTTTACAAAAGATAAATTATAAGGCCACACGTGCTAGCAGCTTGCTTGAGGCAGCTGATGTAAGAGTGCCGATGCAATTGACAGGCTTCTCTTGGTTCTGTAAGTCCTACCACAGTGTCCAGTCATCTTATCAGATAACAGCCTGGATTCTGTTGGTTATCTTCACTTTTTGCAAAATGCCTTAAATGCTTATAAGTAGGAAACATAATGGAATTTAGTGGTCTATCTTTAGCTTACATTGTAGGTGAAGTTTAAAATTATATATGTATTTTTTTTCTTTTTTATTTTTTTTGAGACTGGGTCTCACTCTGTCACCCAGGCTAGAGTGCAGTGGTGCAATCACAGCTCACTGCAGGCTTGACCCCCTGAGCTCAAGTGACCCTCCCATCTCAGCCTCCTGAGTAACTGGGACCATAGGCACACACTACCATGCCTGACTAATTTCTGTATTTTTTGTAGAGACGAGGTCTCACTGTGTTGCCTAGGCTGGTCTTGAACTCCTGGGCTCAAGCAATCTTCCCACCTTGGCCTCCCAAAATGCTGGGATTACAGGCATGAACCATCATGTCTGGCCTTAAATTTTATATATATATTATATATATATATATATATATGTATATATTTTTTTGAGACGGAGTCTTGCTCTGTCGCCCAGGCTGAAGTGCAGTGGCACAATCTTGGCTCACTGCAACCTCCGCCTCCCGGGTTCACGCCATTCTTCTGCCTCAGCCTCCCAAGTAGCTGGGACTACAGGTGCCTGCCACCTAGCCCGGCGAAATTTTTGTATTTTTAGTAGAGACAGGGTTTCACCGTGTTAGCCAGGATGGACTCGATCTCCTGACCTTGTGATCCACCCACCTCGGCCTCCCAAAGTGCTGGGATTACAGGCTTGAGCCACTGTGCCCGGCCTAAATTATATATTTTTAGGCCATTTCTGAATATTCACCGGAGATGATATTACTAATACCTTTTTACTTATTCGTCATAAGTAATCCTCCATGTGTCAAAAGAGAAAAACTTCATTTTTCTATTTTAAAAATAGTACCTAGTGTTTTTCATTTTTTTCTTGCCTGCCAGGAAAATAAAGGCTAAATTTAATATGTAATTGCGGTAACTAATTTAACACAGACACTAGGCATTTTCCTTCTAAAAATTCTGACAGCTTCTTTAAATGGGTTGTTTCTGTTATGTTACTTTATATCTAAATACAAAAACTTAGGCTGGGCGTGGTGGCTCACGACTGTAATTCCAGCACTTTGAGAGGCCGAGGCAGGTGGATTGCCTGAGGTCAACAGTTCGAGACCAGTCTGGCCAACATGGCAAAACCCTGTCTCTACTAAAAATACAAAAATTAACTGGGCGTGCTTGTAGGCGCCTGTAATCCCAGCTACTCTGGAGGCTGAGGCAGGAAAATTGCTTGAACCTGGGAGGCAGAGGTTGCAGTGAGCCGAGATGGCACCACTGTACTCCAGCCTGGGCAACAGAGTGAGACTCCGTCTCAATAAATAAATAAATAAATAAATAACAATAACTTCATGTCCATTTCAGAAGTAAATGAGAGCATAAATAGTCTGTGATGTGTAGGGTGACACTCCGGTTGCAAATTTAAAATTTACTTAATAAAAGGGAGAAAATATGTTTTCCTTCCCGTTCTCTGCTATAGGTGACGTGGCAGGAATTGGCTGGGAGAGAACTGAGGGGACTCCACCTCCTCCGGGACAGCCAGCCAAGGGCCGGGTGTACTTCACATACTGCGGGCAGCGCCTCTCACCATATCTTGAAGACGTCTCTGGTGGCATGTGGCCAGTGGTTCACATTCAGAAAAAGGCAGGTTACCTTGTTGGGAAAGGAAAACAAATTCTCCTTCATCACCTGTTCCTGTTAGACATGGAAAAATGAAAGGGAGCAAACGGGCCCTCATTGTACATAATATTGGTACACAATGGCAGAGGAAGGGCAGAGCCAGCTTGAGCAAGTGTGTGTCTTCCTTTGTGTTGACCCCACAGTCTTAGCTTGAACAATGCTATATCAGGAACTTAGTGCTTCATTGCCTTGACATTTTTTTAGCAACCTTTCCCAGACAACAATGCAAGGAACACTAGAGTTCTTTCAAATGTCAGTAAAATGATTATGTGATTAAGTAAATTTTGAAAGTGATTCTCTTTGGTTGCTCAGTATGTCAGAAACTTGGAGAGAACCTTCGGTAAAGATTTGTAAGTTCAACTTAGTTAACCAGCATCCTCATACATATTTAATGATGGAACTCTTGTTTCTTAAGGGGCATCTATTAATATCCAATGTTCTGGAACATTATTACTTACTACATGCTGGTAGCTCCCACATCCATATCTCTATCCCAGACCTTTCCCTAAACTCCATGCTCACATACCCAGCAGCCTGGGCAGCATCTCTAAAGAGATGCCTTATTGGCATGTCAAGGTTAACGTGACCAAGACTTAGCCTAACTCTCCCCCAAACCCAAAGCTGCCACTTCCCCAGTCTTCTTCATCTCAGGAAATGGCAGCTCCATGCTTGTAGTTGCTAAGGCCAAAAACCTTGATATTCTCCTTGACTCCTCTTTTTTCTTCTGCTCCACATCCAACCTGTCAGCAGATCTTGGTTCTAACCTTCAAAATGTATCTAGAATCTGACCCCTTCTCCCATTCTTCCATCAACAACCCGGCCCTGCCACCATCTTCCCTTGGGTAGCTCATTACAGTGTTCTGACTCCTCTCCCAGTCCCCATTCTTGCCCGTTCACGTCTTATCTTTTTTTTTTTTTTCCCCCTTCAGGACATCTCTAAGGTAATACATGTCTTTTCAACCCAGCAACCACAGTGATCTTTTCAAGATGTTAGTTGGAATGTCACTATCCAGTTAGTGGCTTCTCGTGTCATGCATTTTAAAGGCCCAAGTCTTTATAATGACTTACAAGATGCCAGGTGTGGTGGTGCCAGAGTAGTCCCCGCTGCTCTGGAGGCTGAGTTGGGAGTATCACTTGAGCCCAGGAGTTCCAGGCTGCAATGCGTTATGATTGCACCTATGAATAGTCAGTTGTACTCCAGCCTAGGCAACATAGTGAGACTCCAGATGTGTACCACCACACTGGGCTAATTTTTGTATTTTTAGTAGAAATGAGGTTTCACCATGTTGGCTAGGCTGGTCTTGAACTCCTGACCTCATGATCCGCCCACCTCGGCCTCCCAAAGTGCTGGGATTACAGGCAAGAGCTACTGCATCCGGCCAAGACTCCGTCTTTTAAAAAAATAACCTATAAGGTCCTATAGGATCTGGCCCTGTACCATGTGTCTGATACCATCTTTTATCTCTGTATTTGTTGAGTGAATTAATGATGCCAATAATTTAAAGCAGCATTTCTCAGCCTGTTCCATTCATGCATTCAACAAATATTTATTGAATACTTACTCTATGTCAAGCACTATGCTGAGCTCTGGATATATAGCAGTGAACAAAACAGATATGATCTCTGTCTTCATTGGGTTATGATCAGTTGGAGGAATCAATCAGACAGTAGTCAAATAATCACATAAATATGCATGTGTATGTATGTAATCACAGACTAGTAAATGCTGTGAATGAGAATCACAGACTTCCTAGAAGCAAGTGGCAGGCACATCTGATCTTGTATCTCTTAATCTGAAGAAGTGCTGCTTGAGCCAGGTCTGGAATATTAGCTGGTCTTAACTAGGCAAAGTTGGACAAAAGAATATTCCAGGTGGAAGGAACAGCATGGGTGCTGGTGTCAGGTAGAGAGGAGCAGTGTCAGGTAGAGAGGAGCAGTGTTGGAAACAAGAGAGGTCAATGTGTTTGAGCAGCAAAGTACATGAGAGTGTGAGGTGAGGGACAGGGAGGCAGGGCTGGCTGTACAGGGCTCTGAGCACAGGTGTGCTCAGTCCCTCCAGCCCCCACCTGGTTTCTCATGCCAGCACACACCTCGGGCTATTCTTCCAAGGTGACGTTTAGTGAGCTGCGCCTTGGGCTCTTGCAGAAATAAAAATAAACGTAAGTCTTTCCAAATCCTTCATTTGGTCTCCTTTCCAGAACACCAAAACCCGAGCTAACTTTGGCTCCCGGCCGTTTGCCTACGCGGAAGGGCAGGCCCACCGCAATGCTGCTGACCTGTGCACTGACCTAGCAGAAGAGATCAGCGCTAACTTTGAGGCCCTGCCTTTCGCCATGGCATCTGACAGTGACAATGATGCTGGCACCAGTATTGCATCAGACCCAGGCACTCATGGGCCACCATGCCGGATTGCTGCCGTGGCCACCGCTCAGCAACGTAAGTCACCTCCTGGAACTTACTGCCTCCATGGCTTCCTGAGACCATGAATGTTATGAATTCCATAAACCCATTGCACTTGAGCATCCTCATTACAATCAGGAGTTGCAAACTCACGTGCCCATTGGTAATGGGGTCACAGGCCTGGTGAAAGAAGGTGGGGAGCAGGATGAAGCACAGCAGACCAGAAAGTTCATCCCCATTTCCAGGAAGCCTGCTATGCCTTAGGGCAGCCAGTGCAAGACCACTAGAGCCCCAGGACTTTGTATGAAGTCTCCTCATGTCACAGTGTTACTCATTTTCAAAAATTGTCCTAAAACCAAGGTAATCACAGAATAATAAAATGCTAGGCAATGGATATATAGGCGTGCACTAAAAACTTTTATGATGGTCAGGTGAGGTGGCTCATGCCTGTAATGCCAGCACTTTGGGAGGCCGAGGTGGGCAGATCACCTAAGGTTGGGAGTTCGAGACCAGCCTGACCAGCATGGAGAAACCCCGTCTCTACTAAAAATACAAAATTAGCTGGGGGTGGTGGCGTGTGCCTGTAATCCCCAACTACTCAGGAGGCTGAGGCAGAAGAATTGCTTGAACCGGGAGGTGGAGGTTGCAGTGAGTTGAGATCGTGCCATTGCACTCCAGCCTGGGCAATAAGAGCGAAACTCCATCTCAAAAAAAAAAAAAAAACTTTTATGATTACTTGTAACAATTTTTTCATAAAATTAAATAAAACAGCTCACCAAAGTAAGGATGTCTGCAGGCCATATTTGGCCCATTGGATACTAGTTTGCAAACTGTTTTAAGATTCTGTTTAGGGCCAGACACTGTGGCTCACATCTATAATCCCAACACTGGGAAGTCAAGGAAGGAGGATAGCTTGAGCCCAGGAGTTTGAGACCAACCTAGGCAACACAGTGAGACCCTGTCTCTACAAAAAAATTTAAAAAATAGCCAGGTGTGGTGGCACACACCTGTAGTCCCAGCCACTCAGGAGGTTGAGGTGGGAGGATCGCTGGAGCCCAGGAGGTTTAGCTGCAGTGACCTATCTTTGCACCACTGCTTGCCAGCCTAGGCAACAGAGTGAGCTTCTGTCTCAAAAAAAAAAAAAAAAAAAAAAAAAAGCCTGTTTAGTTCTATCTATAGTGAAGGACTTTCTAAAGTCTTCTCTGAATTGAATGAATTATACTCATAAAAACTATTTTAGGATTCAGGGTAATTATAGATAATTAGTTATTCCTAGACTCTGTGATTTAACATTCCTCAGTGTACTAGGAGTCTTCCTATCATGCAAATTAAGATAATCTGGTTTGTCTAAGGGTGAGAAGTTAAGGATTTTTCTAGCCTGCTCTTGTTTAGAATTCGCTGTCCTTGTGCTCTGTTACAGAATATGATAGTGACACCTCCTGTCATTATAAAGTCGAGCTCAGCTATGAGAATTTCATCACCTCTGGCCCAGACCCTCACCCGCCTCCCATTGCAGATGATGAAAGCGATGATGATGACGATGATGACATCCCTCAGGTAAGAGACCCACAGGCTTAGATCAGGACTCAGCAGCATTTGCTTAGCTCCCTAGTGACTAGGACAAGCCTGGAGGAGTGATTTTGATGTGAGAGTGCAAAGCTGGTTTTGTTACTCTCAGTGACATCATTGTGCTTGAACAGTGACCTTAGAGTGTTAATTTTTCTAAACCCCTATCAATAGCGATATCCGTTGGGCCATTTTGCCCGGTGAAGATCCAGAAACTGGAGAAGTGAAGTGCTTTGCAATAGTTCAGAATCCTGTGAAAGTGCTTCTATGGCTTCTTTAGAGGGAAACGAAGAGCTTGCCCTAGTGTTGCTGTTCCCTGCCCTGGCATCTGGGGGTGTATCTAGTACAGGGGTCTATGTCTGATCTTTCTATTACTGGCATTTAAGTGGGGTGAAGACCTCAGGGTGAGGGCTGTAAGTTAGGGAAACAGTGATGCCTGCACCAGATATTCCTTCTCTGTTCATGAGGTTCCTTCTGCTTCCAGGAGGACCACTACGCCCTGCTGGTGAAAGCATGGGAGACCAAGGTTTTTCCTACCATCCGAAGACGCTTCCGCAATGAAGCAGAGCGGAAATCGGGCCTGGACCAGATAAAGGGGGCCTTACAACTAGGTCTGGTACTTTTTGTTCTGCTAAGGAGGTTACTTCATGACTTGAAGTGAGGAGCTGGATGAAAATCAGAATGTAAATCAGGAGAGACTCATCTAATGTTGCACCATACTTAACAGTGTCTTTGACCTTACCTTTAGTGAACTCTGATCTTTTGTTTTCATTGCTGGACTTTGATTTGCTTGTCAATTTAGCTGAATATTTTGGGTTGATGGGCTGCTGCAGTGAAGCTGGAGTGGTTATACTGGGAAACTCTGTGGTCTGGTGGTTAACAGTTCACATCTGAAGTCATACTGTTTACCAGCTGTGTGGACTTGAGAAAATTACTTAACATCTCTGGGCTTTCCCCATCTTTAAAATGGAATATGTGCTCTGCAAGGTTGATTTGGCAGTCTCTCACTGTTCCCTGATTCCTGCTTATTAAACAGTATTTTTGGCCGGCCATGGTGCTCACGCCTGTAATCCCAGCACTTTAGGAGGCTGAGGTGGGTGGATCACCTGAGGTCAGGAGTTCGAGAGCAGCCTGGCCAACATGGCGAAACCCCATCTCTACTAAAAATGCAAAATTAGCTGGGTGTGGTGGCACACGCCTGTAGTCCAAGCTACTCCGGTGGCTGAGACAGGAGAATCGCTTGAACCCAGGAGGCAGAAGCGGCAGTGAGCCGAGATTGTGCCACTGCACTCCAGCCTGGGCAAGATAGAACAAGAGTCTGTCTCAAATACATACATACATACATACATACATACATACATACATACACACACACACATATACATAAACAAACAGTATTTTTTTTCTCATACCCACTGTTCCTTTTGAAAACATTGCAAAGATTATTGTTCCCTAATCTTCTAATCTTAGGCCACAATTTCTTGTTTATTCTAACACTTAATTCCAAAAGCGTCTGTCTCTAATCACAGCACCCTTTTAAACTCTGCTCAGAAAATTGCCATGCTTTTTCCTTACAGTAAGACCAGTGAATAAAAGAATGGTAGATAGGTGGGATGGAGTTAGGCCTTGTGTAAAAAAAGCAGATTCTAGGCCAGGCATAGTGGCTCACGCCTGTAATCCCAGGACTTTGGGAAGCCAAGGCAGGCGGATCATGAGGTCAGGAGATTGAGACCATCCTGGCTAACACGGTGAAACCCCGTCTCTACTAAAAATACAAAAAATTAGCCAGGCATGGTGGCAGGCACCTGTAGTCCCAGTTACTCGGAAGGCTGAGGCAGGAGAATGGCAGGAACCCGGGAGGCAGAGCTTGCAGTGATCAGAGATCACGCCACTGCACTCCAGCCTGGGCAACAGAGCCAGACTCCGTCTCAAAAAAAAAAAAAAAAAAAAAGCAGATTCTATCAACACCCACTTTTTTTATTATTTTTTTGAGAGAGTCTCGCTCTATATTAACTGGGCTGGAGTACAGTGGTGCAATCATAGCTCATTGCAGCCTCAAACTCTTGGGCTCAAGAGATCCTCCTGCTTCAGCTTCCCGAGTACCTGGGACTACAGGCACTCACTACCAAGCCTGGCTAATTTTTTTATTTTTTGTAGTGACAGGGTGTTGCTATATCCCTCAGGGTGGTCTTGAACTCCTGGCTTCAAACAGTCTTCCCACCCGGGCCTCCAAAGTGCTGGGATTACAGGTGTGAGCCACTGCCCCTGACCAACACCTGCCCTTTCACCCACAACGTCCTGGGCACTGTGGGGCCTAAGGCAACAACAGGATATGGAGGAATTGTGCCCATTTTGCTTTCCTCCCATAATGCTTTTCCTCCCAGGTCTTTGGACATTTAATTACTTGGTTTATTAATTAATAGTAGCTGTTGCTATCAAACATAATCGTATGTTCTTTCTCTGGGAAGAAAGAGCAATCTCAATAAGTGGATAGAAGAAGCTCATATAGCCTTCTCTCTTTCTTAAACAAGCAACATGTGTTTATTGCAGTAAAAATCAAACAGTACAAAAATATAGAGAGAAATAAACCTGGCCAGGCACGGTGGCTCACACCTGTAATCTCAGCACTTTGGAAGGCCAAGGCAGGCGGATCACTTGAGGTCAGGAGTTTTGAGACCAGCCTAGGCAACATGGTGAACCCCCATCTCTACTAAAAATACAAAAATATTAGCCGAGTGTGGTAGTGCGCGCCTGTAATCCCAACTACTTGAGAGGCTGAAGCATGAGAATCACTTGAGCTGGGAGATGGAAGTTGCAGTGAGCCGAGATTGCACCACTGCACTCCAGCCTGGGCGGCAGAGCAAGACTCTGTCTCAAAAAAAAAAGAAAAAGAAAAAGAAACGTTACCCTCACTTTCTTCTTCCTCTCCATTTGTCCTGTAATTTGTTATTTTGAGTTAACGAAAATGAAATAACTGCAAAATAATGGACCATTTTTAGTCATTTTGTACTGATGAACACTTCGGTTTTTTCTACTTTTTTGCTATCTACCAACAGTGCTACTTGCTCTGTCTCCCAGGCTAGAGTGCAATGGTGCAATCTCAGCTCACTGCAACCTCCACCTCCCGGGTTCAAACAGTTCTCCTGCCTCAGCCTCCCGAGTGGCTGGGATTACAGGCACCTGCTACCATGCCCAGCTAATTTGTATTTTTAATAGAGACGGGGTTTTGCCATGTTGGCCAGGCTGGTCTCAAACTCCTGACCTCAGGTGATCCACCCACCTCGGCCTCCCAAAGTGTTGGGATTATAGGCGTGAGCCACTACGCCTGGCCATTTTTTTTTTTTTTTTTTTTGAGATGGAGTCTTTCCCTGTCATTGAGGCTGGAGTGCAGTGGCGCCAGCTTGGCTCACTGCAACCTCTGTCTCCTGGGTTCAAGCAATTCTCCTGCCTCAACCTCCCGAGTAGCTGGGTTTACAGGCGCCTGCCACCATGCCTGGCTAATTTTTGTATTTTTAGTAGAGACGGGGTTTCACCATGTTGGTCAGGCTGGTCTTGAACTCCTGGCCTCAAGTAATCTACCTGCCTCAGCCTCCCAACGTGCTGGGATTACAGGTGTGAGCCACTGTGCCTGGCCTTAGTGCTTATATTTCTGTGGAAGAGATTTGAGACATTCCTAAAAGTAGTACATTTAGTATTCCAAACATGGTAGATACTGCACAATTTCCTTCGCCAAAGGGTTATGTACTTTCATAAACAATGTTTGAAAGATTCCCTTATCATTTCACTCTACATGTAAGTCAGTGTCATGGTTGATCTGTGTGTACTCTTTGGGGAGTTACCCTGTGCTGTTATATTTTTTAGGTATGGTGGATATTGCCCGACAGACGGTTGAATTTCTCTACGAAGAGAATGGTGGCATCCCAAGAGACCTTTATCTTCCCACCATTGAAGACATTAAAGACGAAGCAAACAAGTTCACAATTGATAAAGTTCGAAAAGGTTTTGCTTTCCTCCTTACTCGACCTATGAAATTTCCTATGAAATGAGAGGTTGAATTTTCCTTAATGTGCACAAGCAGCTGGTGGTTCTCCTAGGGTGACTCTCCTTACTCCGACTGGGCTAACCTCTTCCACACCGCCCCATGTGAAGCCCTAGGGCAACCCTGGTGGGGCCCTTCCCACTTCCCAGAACTCAGTAGCATGAGCTGAGTGGGGCAGGCAGCTGCACAAGAAAAGAGGTAGGGCCTGGGCTCCATCTCTACTAAAAACATAGAAAATAGCTGGGCCTGGTGGCGCACGCCTGTAATCCCAGCTACTCTAGAGGCTGAGGCAGGAGAATCACTTGAACCTGGGAGGCGGAGGTTGCAGTGAGCCGAGATCACACCACTGCACTCCAGCCTGGGCCACAGAGCAAGGCTCTGTCTCAAAAAACAAACAAAAAATTCTTTGCCCATTTTAAACTGGCTTATTTGTCTTTTTATTCTTCAATTGTAAGAGCTTTTACAACGTTCTATTATATTACCTTCCAGACTGAGTTGTGTTCTTGCTTGGTTATAACAAAACTGAGGGTTCTGTTAAAGCCCGTAGAGCTATTTTATTTTATTTTATTTTATTATTTTATGTTTATCTGGAGAGCTATTTTAGATGCTAAATGTAAGAACCCAGATGCAGTGGTACTTTTTCCTGAAAAACTTCTCCCTCTACACTCCTCAGGTCTCACAGTAGTAACCCGCTCTCCAGACAGCAATAATGTAGCCAGCAGTGCTGTTGGAACTGCTCTGCCAAAATTTGCCATCCGAGGGATGCTGAAAACCTTTGGGCTTCATGGAGTCGTCTTAGATGTTGATTCAGTGAGTGAACAGCCATTCTGATTAATAAGCTATTTTATATATACTGAGGCTGTCATACCCAGATTCCCAGGTACCTTAAAAAGTGATTATACAGATGAGTTTCTCTTCAAATCAGGGACGAAGACACAAAGCAAAAATGCTCTAATGCCAATTGACTTGCCTGAGCTTTCCTCAGGGACTCAGATCAGGGCTGGCAGTAGATGGTAGGCTCTCCAGTCTCAAAGCTGTGGCCGCCTTCAGACCACACCACCTCTACCATTATTTTCTGTCCGACATGTTCAAACTGTTCCTGCATTATATCTACCCAAGTTCCCAGGGAAAAGTCCCCATTGTCCTTGATGAATGGATGATCTGTCATTGCCATGATGGTCATACAGACACAAATCAAAGAAATAGGCTGGGCGTGGGGCTCACACCTGTAATCCCAGCACTTTGGGAGGCCGAGGAAGGAGGATTACCTGAGCCCAGGAGTTCGAGACCAGCCTGGGCAACATGGCGAGACCCTGTCTCTACAAAAAATTAGCTAGTCATGGTGGGCATATCTGTAGTCCCAGCTATGTGGGAGGCTAAGGTGGGAGGATCGTTTCAGCCTGGGAGGTCAAGGCTGCAGTGAGCTGTGATGGCGTCAGTGTTCTCCAGCCTGGGCAACAGAGTGAGTCCCTGTCTCCAAAGGAAAAAAAAAAGAAAAAAGTTTTGTCATTTTGATCACATCATCTCACTGATTCTCTCAGCCTCAATTTCCCTATCTGTAAAATGAGTGTATTAAACTGGATCAGTGGTTTCCTCCTCCATTTTGCAAAGCTCTCTCCTAGGACACAGCTAGGACTTTTCGGGAAGGGGGCAGAGTGAGAGAGGACAAGGCCAAAGCTTTCTTTTGAAAAGAGACTCCTGTTTGAAAGCCATGACTATGTGATTCTGAGGTTGCATGCCCATCCTTGTATTTGAGAAGCTTCCTATGCAGGAAAAACTGGTGAAATAATATACAGATCAAGCCTGAGAGTCTCTGATAAAATATTAATATCATCAATCACTGTATAGATATAAACTTTGGTATCTGTCTAGAGAGAGATACAGATGATATTAGGTTCCATTAATGCTTTGAAATTTACCTTGAAAAATTTACATCTTTAGGCCAGATGTGGTGGCTCATGCCTGTAATCCCAGCACTTTGGGAGGCCGAGGCAGGTGGATCACTTGAGGTCAGGAGCTTGAGACTAGCCTAGCCAACATAATGAAACCCCATCTCTACTAAAAATGCAAAAATTAGCTGGGCATGGTGGCACGAACCTGTAGTCCTAGCTACTTGGGAGGCCGAGGCAGGAGAATTGCTTGAACCCCAGAGACAGAGGTTGCGGTGAGCCGAGATCATGCCATGGCACTCCAACCTGGGCAACAGAGCAAGACACTGTCTCAAAAAAAAAAAAAATTACATCATCTGACTCTATTTTGTCAGAATGTAATTTAACTCATTAGATTTTTTTAGAGGGGCTATTGACTGGTGGTCACTGAGGTGAACTTTCAAATGGAAAATTCCATCAATAATACTGTTAATCTCCCACTGCCTTCTGATGCAAACTTCTGACTCTGATTGTAAGAAAATACATTAGGATGATATTTTTGAGCAATAGAAATGTGTGAAAATAAAAATTAGAAAAATAGAATTGTCCTTATTATAATCATTCTGTTATTTCTAAGGTAATTTCTCTCCAGTTTAATAATCCCTAAATGAAAATTGCATTGGTATTTGCATCCAAAATACATATGTATGAGCTTACTTTTTATTTTCCTAGAAATAAAATACAGCTATCAGACAGATTCCCTGCTTTTAAGATATTATTAACATAAAAACAATGAACATAAATTTTACCTAGCAACAGTTTGCGCTGGAAATATAGCACTATTCTCTTTAAATTGCTAACTTATGATTACATTGAAAATCTTTATTGTATCAATAAAAATTTTCCATCTGGTATGGAAAAACTAAAACACTCAGTACTAAGCAGATGTCTTTGAACTTAGACTAAATCAATGGCATGAAACTAGCATTTATTGCTATAATCTGGTTATATATGTATAAATATATATATATTAGTCTGGTTGTTTGTGTGTTTATGTATATATTATCCTGTTCTTTTTTTATTTTGATTGAAATTTTTTTTTTTCAGTAATTGGCTTTTGGCCTTTCTAGTATGTCATTAATTCACATTTATATTTAAGAATTCATTTAAAATCTCTCTGATTCCTGGCTGGGCATGGCGGCTCACGCCTGTAATCCCAACACTTTGGGAGGCCAAGGCAGGCGGATCACTTGAGGTGAGGAGTTTAAGACCAGCCTGGCCAACATGGTGAAACCCCACCTCCACTAAAAATACAAAAATTAGCTGGGCACAGTGGTGGGTGCCTAGTCCCAGCTACTTGGGAGGCTGAGACAGGAGAATCTCTTGAACCTGGGAGGCAGAGACTGCAGTGTGCCGAGATGACACCACTGCACTCCAGCTTGGATGACACGGTGAGACTCCATCTCAAAAAAAATAAAATAAGATCTCTCCCATTTCTGATGTTTGTTATTTTGTTATTTTCTTAGAAAAGCACATAGCAAGTTTATATAGTAATAAGATTACTTATAATATGTGTTTCAAAAATGTATTGTGAATTCTCTTTCGTTTGTCTATGAAATAGCAATTAGTTACAAATTATAATACCTAAAAGCCTGGACTGAAAATACACACACACACACACACACACACACACGCACGCACGCACACACACACGCACGCACGCACACATGGAAAACAAAAGCAAACAGCACAAACAGACATTTTCTTTTCCTATTGTAGGTGAATGAACTGGTGCAGGTAGAAACGTACCTCCGCAGTGAAGGTGTGCTGGTGCGATACTGGTATCCTATTGACATGTTGGAAAGGCCCCCAGCAGGCTACCGAAGGACTGCCACCAATGGGCTGGTCACACTGGACAATACCAACCTTCAAATTCACAGGTACAATTGGGCCCTTCTTTCTACTGGGTCACAGAAATCCACCAACTTCGCTCTACCACATGTACCATGTACCATTTATCCTCAGCAAGAAAGTTTTTCCTTCAAAGCTAACACTTAGAGAAGGCAGCTAATAAAGATAACAGCAAAATTGCAGGAGGTGTGAAGAAAAGTCGGGGGATCTAGGGGCCAGGCATGGTAGCTCACGCCTGTAATCCCAGCACTTTGGGAGGCCCAGGTGGGCAGATCACTTGAGGTCACAAGTTCGAGACCAGCCCGGCCAACCTGGTGAAATCGCATCTCTACTAAAAATACAAAAATTAGCCGATCTTGGTGATGGGCACCTGTAATACCAGCTATTCTGGAGGCTAAGGCAGGAGAATCTATTGAACCCGAGAGACGGAGGTTGCGGTGAGCCAAGATTGTGCCACTGCACTCCAACCCGGGTGACAAAGGGAGACTCCGTCTCAAAAAAAAAAAAAAAATGGGGGATCTAGAATCATCTGACTTATGCAACATGCACCCTGCTGTGATTTGGGAGGACTGATGGGTAGCTAGAGATTGACTGACTCATTGAACTTAAGACCACCCAAACGCTGCAATGCAATCTCAACCGGAGACAGCAAGAGGTCTTGCCGTCTAGACAGATAAGCGTATCTGGAGTTCTAGTGAGAGATGAGAGCTGGAGATACACTCAACTTGATTCAAAATTGTCAACATCACAAGAAATCGTGATAGCTAATGGATGAATAGCCATCACATTCCACGGATTGGAAGAGCGTGGAGAAAGTTACGGAGAGTAAAGCAAGTCAAGAAAAGGTAAGAAGATGTCCAGGTACAGTGTAAGCTCCTTTCGCTGTGAAGCCAATCAGGTATTGCTTGAGTGCTTTCTATGTGCCTAGCACTGTGCAGGCTTCCAGAAGAGAAGGTGTTCAAGGCATGTGCCTGCCCTCAGTGGGCTGAAACCTAAAGATCTGGCAAAGCTCCCTCATGTTCACCATTGCCAATTCCCCTGAGAATTATTCCTTTCCATCTTAAAATGTCTTGTAATAATTCAGAGGAAAATATAATAATAAATGGAGTTCTCTAATAAAAATTTCCAGAAACTATTTTTCATGCTGTTCATCCATTAGCCATCACAATTTCTCATGATGTTGACAATTTTGAATCAAGTTGAGTGTATCTCCAGCTCTCATCTCTCACTGGAACTCCAGATATGCTTATCTATCTAGACGGCAAGACCTCTTGAGATAGACCATCTCCACTTGAGATTGCATTGCAGCGTTTGGGTGATCTTAAGTTCAATGAGTCAGTCAAATTCACAAGACCAAAATAGGTCACATATGACTTTCTTAGCTTTACTTAGCGAGATACAGGACAGGAAGTAGGCATACCACAGGGCAATATCACAAATGTTTCTTCAACAGGGGTCCTCACAGTCGTCCACATAGAAGTTCAGGGGCTATTCCCTGACCCTACCTACTGACCCCACCTACATACCTACCCAAGTGTCAACTCAGGTGTGAAGGAGAAATGTCCCACAGCAGGGCTCCTGCGGCCGGCGGCTCAACAGCCCCGTGTCCTAATCCAAGCTGACATCTCTTGTGAATACTCCACAGGCATGGCTTCCAGGGATTCCAGCAAGAGGCATGCCCAGTTACAAGCATCACCATGCTCCAGAAGCCTTGAAGCTGTGGCTTCCCACCAAGAATGTTCTTCTTCACAGTCCTCCCCATTTAGACACAGCTTGCCTGTGAGGGGTCACTAGTATCATAAGCAGTGCCTTGTGATGTTGCCGACATTCTTTGTCAGGTTTTCAGAAGAACTGACTTTAAAACACCTTAACCAAGGGCAGTTCTGAGGTAGACAAGGATAGGGTTTTGTTGACCTTTAACTCACAAATAATCTCATAAGCCCCTAAAGTTTCTCGTGTGAGGTGGAATCTGAATTTTTCCCTGAAATCTCCTCTGCCTCTGGCCTCCCCATATCTGGAAGGGGCACCACAAACCATCCTTTTTCCTCAAGAGAGCTATCAGCAAGTGCCATTGACTGTTCCAAAATATGTCCCCATCTGCACACGTCTCCATTCCTACCTCCACCACGACAGCCCAGGCCTCAACTCTCCTCTCCACAACAGCTGGAGCGATCTTTTAGACACAGAAATCAGCTCTCCCTCCTCTAATGCAGACCTTCCCATGGAGTACATTCAAACCTAACCTGCTTCACAGAACCCCACAGGAGCCTCTGAGCTTGGCAGCCCCTCCTCTGTGGTGCTCACACAGCTAGTGTGTTGCTTCCTTAGGGATGGCCCAGAGCTCCCCCTGGCTGTCTCGTTCTGTAATTCAGATCTCAGTGAATACTCACCTCTTCAAAAAGCTCTGCCCTCACCATCTAAGGTGACTGTCCATGCGCTCTTTGTCAGGAAACTACAGTATTTTAATGCTCTCCCAGGACCTGATGTTTTTACTGCTGTTATTTTGCTTGTTTGTTAAAATTTGTTCTTGTGGGCCGGGTGCGGCGGCTTGCACCTGTAATCCCAGCACTTTGGGAGGCCGAGGTGGGCGGTTCACTTGAGGCCAGGAGTTCAAAACCAGCCTGGCCAACAGGTGAAACCCCATCTCTACTAAAAATACAAAAATTAGCCGGGTCTGGTGGCATGTGCCTATGGTCCCAGCTACTCGGGAGGCTGAAGCATGAGAATCACTTGATCCCAGGAGGCAGAGGTTGCTAGAGTCCCCAGTGCCTAAGCTAGGCCCTGACACACATTGTAGACTCAAAATAGATGCTGAAAAGGGTCCCCAAACATACATGCTTGAATATCAACATGGTATTATTAAAAGCTTTTAAAGCTTTATTTAATAAGTCTTTTGGTCATTTTTTTTAGCAAACAACTTTGATAGATGAAACCTGTTGACTGCTGACTAGCAACTGAGAGAGAAGGCAAGAAAGTCCTTATAGAGTTACAATCAACTTACAAGTGTAGGATGTTTAATCAGTGTTAATGCGGTGGTCCTGGTATTGGAAGACATAGGAAACATGCCATGCAGATCTGTGTGATCATTCGGTGGTTGGATTTCTGGTCCTGGCACAGATTTTCATCAAGATTGTATTCTGTGCTAAAGCACTCACAGTGGTTTTAAAGAAGACTTTGGTTAGCTGGGCTTGGTGGTGCATACCTGTAGTCCTGGCTATTTAAGTGGGAGGCTGAGGTAAGAGCATTGCTTGAGCCTGGGAGTTCAAGGCTGCAGTGAGCCATGATTACCAGTGTCCTCCAACCTGGGCAACAGAGCAAGACCTTGTCTCAAATTTTTTTTTTAATAAATAAAGAGGATTTTGGAAAACAGAGGCTAGAGCAGCAGTGGCTTCAGAGGCATTAGCAGTGTACAGTGTCCAAACCAGGGCTGCAGGTCAGACCCAAAACAAGCTCATAGCCAGGCGCAGTGGCTCACGCCTGTAATCTTAGCACTTTGGGAGGCCAAGGAAGGAAGATCATTTGAGCCCAGGAGTTCAAGACTAGTCTGGGCAACATAGAGAGACCCTGTCTTGGCTGGGCACAGTGGGTCACGCCTATAATCCCAGCACTTTGGGAGGCCGAGGTGGGCAGATCACTTGAGGTGAGGAGTTCGAGACCAGCCTAGCCGACATGGTAAGGCCCCGTCTCTACTAAAAATACAAAAATCAGCCAGGCATGGTGGCACACGCCTGTAATCCCCGCTACTTGGGAGGCCAAGGCAGGAGAATCGCTTGAACCTGGGAGGCGGAGTTTGCAGTGAGCCGAGATCACACCACTGCACTCCAGCCTGAGTGACAAAGCAAGACTCCATCTCAAAAAACAAAAAAAAGAGAGAGAGAGAGACCGTGTCTCTACAAAAATAAGAAAAAATTAGCTAGGAGCAGTGGCGCATGTCTGTAGTCCCAGCTACTCAAGAGGCTAAAGCTGGAAGATTGCTTGAGCCCGGGAGGTCAAGGCTGCAGTGAGCTATGATCACGCCACTGCACTTCAGTTTGGGCAACAGGGCCTGTCTCAAAAAAGCCCAAGAAAACAAAACAAACAGTTCCGTCCCTGGTAACTTTGCCTATAAAGTCTGAGGTGAAAGCCAAGGGGAGAACCGTGGGGTTCTCAGCTTGCCCATTCAGTCCTTACCAATTTTGTTGCCGTGGTCCTCATGTGCTTTGTTAATGCAGTGAACACATGGGCTTCCAAGGAGGGAGGAGACAGGAGAAGTGTGTTTATTGTTCATCCTGGCATGAGAACCACACAGACTGGTGTTGATAAGGAAGAAACCACCTACGATGTAGTTTCTTAGCTGTCTTCTTTTTGTTTATCTTCACTTCACACATACACTCATCAAGTGTTCCATATGGGGTTGTTTCTTTAATTGCCATTACACCTAAATTTGAATTATGATACACCAGCATTAAATTTAATTAGGGTCAGTAGGAATATCAAATGACCCCCGTGGGTTCAGAGTGAGTTTGGGGCCTAGGTTTTTGTGTTTTAGAAACAGAGTCTTGCTCTGTCACCCAGGCTGGAGTGCAGTGGCACAGTCATAGCCCACTGTGGCCTCCAACTACTGGGCTCAGCAGTCCTCCCACCTCAGCCTCCCAAGTAGCTGAGACTACAGGGCGATTTCTATTTTTTGTAGAGAGGGATTCTCACTATGTTCCCCAGGCTGGTCTCAAACTCCTGACCTCAAGTAATCCTCCTGCTTTGGCCTCCCAAAGTGCTAGAATTACAGGTGTAAGCCATTGCGCCTGGCCCATAAGACGTGCTTAGGCACTAATGAGCTATTATTCAAGTTGAATGCCGATCACTTTACTAATTCATCACATAAAAAAATGCCCACGATGGTATTTTTATAATAGCTGTATTGAGATATAATTTACATACCATGCAATTCACCCATTTAAAGTACACAAGTCAGTGGTTTTTATTATATTCACAAAGTTGTCCAACCATTACCACAATCAATTTTAGAACATTTTCATCACCCCAAAAGAAACCCCATATCCATAGCAGTTACTTCCCATCCTCCTTTCCCACCAACTCCTGACAACCACCAATCTATTTTCTGTTTCTATGCATTTTCCTCTGGACAATTTACAGAAATGGAATCCAATATGTGGCCCTTTGTATCTGGTGTCTTTCACTGAGAACATGATGTTTCAAGGTTTATTCCCATTGTGGCGTATGTCAGTCTTTGATCTGTTTGATGGCTGAAAAATACCCCATTGTATAGACTTACCATTGAGTTAATGGACACTTGAGTTCTTATCACTATTTGGCTATTAGGAATAATGCTACTATGAACATACATGTACAAATTTTTGTGCGGACATGTATTTTTATTTTTTTCCCTACAGTGCTTTTTTGAGCTGGGAAAAATCAAACGTAACAATATAACTTAATGTGACTTTTGTTTAAAACTCAAGTGACTCCTTTAGGGTTTGGAACATCAGGCTGGAAGAGAAGCCTGAGGCAGGATCCTTTTCCTTCAGAACCTGCGGCCTGGTCCCGGTATGGGGGCCGGAGCATCAGGGCTTTGAGTATCTCACCCACCTTTTCCCTTGCAGGGAGCTGCTGCGCTGCGAGGCTGCGCTGGCCAGGCTGTACTGCCGCATGGCCCTGCTCAATATCTTCGCCCCGAAGTTGCCTCACTTGTTCACTCGCCTCTTCCACATCCCTGCCATCCGGGACATTACCCTGGAGCACCTGCAACTGCTGTCCAATCAGCTCCTCGCACCTCCTCTCCCAGGTAAAACTTGGCTTTGCTGCTGTCACTCTGGAACTTAGCACCAGGCGGGCGCTGTGCACAGTGTAGTCATTCCCTGCATGAGGGCGAGAAATGCCTCATGGTGCGCATAGGCTCACGTGAGAAATTGCACGCAGGAACTGGGATTCTCCTGGCAGGGCTTTCTCACTCTTCGAAAAATGTAATGGATTACTCACTTGAGTCATTACTCTGTTAAGCATTCATCAAGTTTCCCAACGTAATTGTGGATCAAGGAAAATTAAGTATTACTTATGAAACCAAGTCACTGTATTGTTGCCACAGACATTCTATTTGACATTAGAAAGAAAGGAGATGTTCCTGTCATCAGCGTCCTCCAAAGCAGACCTATTTGGTTCATCATAAGTTCTGCTGAGGCTGTTCCAAAGGCCAGCCTGTGTGCCCTTGGCATGAGGGCTGTGTCTGATCCCCAGTGAATGCCAGGTGATGAGTCTGCCCTCAGCACTATCCAGGACTCAGGGGCCCTTTCTGTCTTCCCCTGGCATCTCAGCCTCCAGCCTGCCGCCTCGATCTCCCAGCAACTAAGATGGGAACAAGAAGTGAGGCAGGCAGGGGACACCCCTCAAAGCTCACTTGCAGATAGCAATCTAGGCTCAGTCAGCATCCTGGGTAGCTGCCCTCCAGCTCACAACTGTGGGGTCCCACCCAGCCAGGGTATGTGTGCACTACATCGCTACTGGTCCATATGAGCGCCTGGGGTCCACAGCCCATCCCAAGAACTTAGATGCCCTGAAATATACCTGGAAAGCATCAAATGTGGTGGCAGAAGCTTTGCCCTGATGATCTAACAAGTTTCTCTACAGGCTGTGCCCTAAGGTACCCTGCGGGGGTGGGCCAGAGTAGTCAGACAGGTCAGGCTCTGGGAACCCCTGGATCCAAGCAGCCCCATTTGATATATTTCGTAGACCTGGGCCTCTGTGTAGATTTTATTTTAGGCAACAGTTTCACAGCTGAAAAGAAAGCAAAAGTATGAAGCCCATTGATCTCCTGGGTCCCCCTCCACCATCCTGGTGCAGAGGATCTGATTGCCGGCATCTGTTATCCAGGACATCATATCCAGGATAACCCTCCCATCTGGGGTTTCTGGATGGGTTATTCATTTTCTGTTACTTAGACTCTCACAGCTACTGGCTGCTTTGATTCTTGTCAACTTCTGTTTCCTTTCCGTCCCCAGACGGCACCATCAGCTCCAGCTCGATCCTCCTGGCGCAGTCTTTACAGCATTGCATCCATTCCCAGAACTGCTCCGCCACGGACCTCTTTTACCAGGGCAACTCCCAGACAGTGAGAGAGTGGCTCAACGTGGCCATCACCCGGACCCTGCACCAGGGCGAGGAGAGCCTTTTAGAGCTGACGAAACAGATCTGCTCTTTCCTGCAGGTAGAAGTCTAAAGCTCATGTTCCTGCAGTGTGGTTACCATTTTTAACTGGGAGTCTCACTGGCTTGCTGAAAATGACTCCCCTTTCCCTTCCAAGTCCCTATTCCTCTCGATTTCCTTTTCCTAGAAGCTTTTCTGCTTTATCTCATCTGTAGCTTGCTTCCTTCCAGAGGGCTATTTAGTCGTTTGGCTGATTTCCTGGGCCATGTGAGATGAGAAGATGAAATGCTGTCCCTGTGTTTAGCCCGTGGCTTTCCTTATTCAGTGTCTCTTTGCAGACAGCACCAGAGCAGTTCCCCTCCGAAGAGTTCCCAATTTCCGAATCCAAAGTCAACATGGACGTGAATTTCCCCGGGGCAGCTTTTGTTGTTGTGTCTTGTAAAGAAAGTCAATCTGGATTCCGCAAAGAGTAAGTTGCCTGTTCTCAAGAAGATGGTGATGGGGAGAGGAAAGCTAAATGAATTCTGGTGAAACTGGCCAAGGAAAAAAATTCAAATCACTGATTCTTTAATGCAAATGACTTACAATTCTCTCCATATTTCTATGTTTGGGGAATTAGTCTATAAAGAATGACCTTCCAAAGTGTGGTGGAAATGACTTGGGCCCAGTTCTCATCTAACGTCCCCTGGTGAGAAGGCAAAGCTGCCTGTCCCCATGTGCATGGCTAGACCCTGTATTAACACCCACCCATCCCTCCTTCTCAGCTCCTCTCTGTACAAGGCACCGTGGGCACGGGTGCTCGTATATGGCCTCGGCCACAAAGTGAAGCGAAATGGCCAGCTGAACCTCATCGAGGCCGCCTGTTACCCGCGGGACGCGTCCCCAGCCAACACTGGGCTTGCACCTCCCCCCACCGCTGACCAGTACCCCTCTGTGGTCCTCTCCACAGACAGGGTCCACATCAAACTGGGTGAGTCTCCAGCAGCTTGTCATGATGAGAACAGCTGGAGTCATTCTCCTCTTGCCTTCTTTTTGAAGCTATAATGAATTTTGTACCTTGCATGTTCCAGTTCCTATTGATAAAGAATAGGACTTCTGGGGACTTCTGGAAGAAACTGCTGCTTCTTTTAGAGGCAGTAAATTAAAAGACTTATCTTTCCTACCTAGGGAAGGCCTGACAGATGCTGTCCAGACTACAGTGGAGATTTCCTTTCTTTTCACAAGTATGTGCTGAGATGTGTCTGTTTAGAATGATACAACCAGAGCAATCACATCCTTACAGCTGGCTCAGGCTATGATAATCCCAGTTGCCATTCCTTGAATTCTCATTAACCAAATTCTCAACATGGCTCCCCAGGGCACTGGCCACTGTGAGAGTCTGCTCCTCAACTAACTGGAAGCTCGATTGCTCTCATCTCCTGGGCATTTTTTTGAAGCCTCCATCGTTTTAGAGTTAGATGAGGGCTCTGCCTCCACATGCCCTGAAACTGTCACTGCCTGTCCTCTGTATGCACCAGGGCCTGCTGGCTCTGTGTCTGAGTATGCACAGAAAAGAAAGGAAATCCTCATCACAGGCCTCCACTGCTCCTCCTTGGCATGCTTGACAGGAAAAGACTGACGCGTGTTTGCCAGAGACAGAAAACATGTGAACTTTTAGCCAAAATAACAGGCCTGGGCTTCTCCACACCCCAGTCCTTGAGACAATGCATCTTAGGGAATGAAATGAAAGAACATTTCTTCAGTGATTTGGTCATTGCTAAACAACTTTATGGTCTTTTTTATTAGAGTCTGTTTTTCATAGTATTTTTCCTATACTAGCTGTTTTTTAAACTTTACATTTAAAACAGAGGATCTCTGTCATTCCACAATTATCACTATGTAAACATTCACCCCAGAGTATACAAGCCAATATGGTTTGCTTCTGACTTGTCCAAAGCCCTCTGATGCCCTGGCTTCTGTCTGACTGGTGTTTATAGAGGGGCTTCAGGGGCAGTGCAGGATGTGAGGGGGATCAAGCCTTGGACCTTCTTCCTCTCACTGTAGACAGCTTTGGTCACACGTAGGCCATGGCAGTGACAAAAGGTGATAAGATAATCAAAACCCAAGGTGCCAGTAGTCTTAAGTCTTGGGGACCCCTTGCTGGTCCACTGTAATAAGCATAATGGTCTTAGTGGGATTGCAGCCATACCAAAGGACTGATTATTTCTTTACCAAGCTGGGAATATCCCAGTGAGGCATCTTTTAAAGTGTTACTTACTTTCCCCATTCTGGTTGGTATCTAACTGAATGACAAGTGTGTGTCCTCTGTTCTCATCTCCGTTCTTTGTCCCATTTGCCAAATCCACCCCAGTAAGCGGACTCCCTGGAGGGATGGCCTCCATCTCCTCGTGTCCCTGCAGCCCACTGTCCAGAGTGTCAGGAGTTATGTGTCCTCCTGCTGGAGCAGATGAGTGGGTGGGCTCTCCAGCCCTGTTTCTACATGCACACCTGGCAGGACCTTTTGTGAGGCTTATTTGGGTCAGGTGCTGCCAATCATCTGCTTTCTTCCTGGGTGCTTCTTGCAGGGGTGTCTCCACCTCCTGGAGCAGTCCTGGTGTTACATTCCCTGCCCCTGGAGTTCCCACTGGCTATGGCCTTCGCAGAGCAGCTGCTGTCCTGGAAATCAGAGGACAGTGAAGGGAAGTCCGAAGATGAGCCTGACACCATTCCGACATCCGTCCTCCTGCAGGTGGTGGAGCTGCTAGGTGAGGCTGCCTTCCCTGGGGATCGGAATCTAGGGTGGGGGTGGAGCTGGCATGGTGCCTGAGGAAGGAGCTTGCCAGGTGGTGTAGGGAGTGGCCACAGGTAGCCCAGGCAGCTGCAGCCTCCTTCAGATTGCTGTCATTTGAAGTGGGCTTGGGGAATAGATCTTAAGGTACAACCTAGACTCCCAAATCCATGATTTGCTGGGTATTTTCATTATTTTGAGGATTGGAAACTAACCAGGAAAATAAGATTAACTTTATCCACTTTACTTTAAAACAGAAGTATATGCCATTATTGTAACTTTAGGGGTGAAGGGTGGTGTGGAAATGAACAATGTTGCAAAATCAAAGGTTATAACTGCATAGTTCCTCAAAGGGTCAAAAAGGTTGCAAAACTCATGGAATGATAAATGTAAAAGTTGTGCATTTTACCATATGCAAATTTACCTAAACAAATTCTAAATAAATATTAAACTTTAATGATATGCCTCCTTAAGTGTTTAGGGATGAAGCATACTGATGTCTACAACTTATTTTGAAATAATCAAAAACTAAGATGGGTTTGTGGATGAATAGAGGAGTAGACAGATATGTAGTAGAGGAAATACAGCAACATGTTTATGGTGGAATCTAGCTGGTAAGTGCACAGGTGTTTACTGTATAATTTCTTCAGGCTTTCTATATTTTTGAATTTTTCCATAATGTTGCAGGGAAGAAAACATTGCACACTCGGGCCAGACGCAGTGGCTCACGCCTGTAATCCCAGCACTTTGGGAGGCCAAGGCGGGTTGATCACCTGAGGTCAGGAGTATGGAGACCAGCCTGACCAACATGATGAAACCCTGTCTCTACTAAATACAAAAAATTGGCCGGGCATGGTGGTGCATGCCTGTAGTCCCAGCTACTCAGGAGGCTGAGGCAGGAGGATCGCTTGAACCCAGGAGGCGGAGGTTGCAGTGAGCCAAGATTGCGCCATTGCACTCCAGCCTGGGCAACAAGAGCGAAACTCCATCTCAAAAAAACAGAAAACACTGCACACTCGGATGCCTTCAGTGCCTTCAGGGTTCAAACAGATCAGCTAAATGAGGGAAATAAAGAGGAAAGTTGGCAGGGGGACTTTGGTGAGCTGGAGGCACAGAGGACACGTGCCCTGTCATCCACTGCTGCAGGAGAACATGGCCCTGCTTCTGCCAGAACCGTAATTTCTTTCTTTTTTTTTTTTTTTTTTTTTTTTTGAGACGGAGTCTCGCTCTGTCGCCCAGTCTGGAGTGCAGTAGCGCCATCTTAGCTCACTGCAAGTCCGCCTCCCGGGTTCATGCCATTCTCCTGCCTCAGCCTCCAGAGTAGCTAGGACCACAGGCGCCCACCACCACGCCTGGCCAATTTTTTGTATTTTTAGTAGAGACAGGGTTTCACCATGTTAGCCAGGATAGTCTCGATCTCCTGACCTCGTGATCCACCCGCCTCGGCCTCCCAAAGTGCTGGGATTACAGACATCAGCCACTGCGCCCGGCCTGGAACCGTAATTTCTTATTTCAAGAAAATCCAGGAATCCAAATGTTGATGTGAATTTCTCAATTTTTAAATGTTGGCAACCAAGTCAAATGCTTTCATACACCCTAGGAGGGCCAAGCGCAGTGTGGTTCACACCTATGATCCAGCACTTTGAGAGGCTGAGGCAAGAGGATCACTTGAGTTCAGGATATGGAGCAACATAGCCAGACCCTTTCTCTGCAAAAAATAAAAAACACCCAGGGAGTGGATAGGGGGGACGTAAGCAGAGAACACTGTCTGAGAATAAGTTTCAGCGCATAGGCCGTCATGTGCAATTTTGGTGAAGAATTCTCTCCAAGGTCGTCTTACATGAATGCTAAATGGTAGAGCAAGGACAACGGAGGTGACATGAATAGTTCTGGCATCTGAGGGCCTAGCCCTGTGCCCCAGCAGAGAGGGGAGCAAGGACACCTGTCCTCTGTGGAGGTTCTATGAGAGCCCATGTTCCAGGACAGTCACAAACTTGTTTCCAACCAGAATTCGCAAGCAGTGTCAGTCCTGAGAGAGCAGGAAGCTTGATCCCCTCTTTGGTAGGTGCTGGACTTAGTAAGTCAGCTTCAGCAGGCCCTTGGGATTCCCCCGGCCAGTAATCTTTTATCCTGTACAAGAGCCATCTGGATGTAGCAAACTGCAGTTCACTCTTTTGCAGGGTAAGGGCTCAGCTGGCTCAGTGGGACACAGGCTTTAGATGTTCATGATCCCTAATCGTGTCTCACGTACATGAGCTTTCTCTCTTTCCACTCAGATCCAGGGTACATGACTATGTGAATGTAAGATATGCCTCTGGTATGAAGGAGACCTTGGCACAAACGTGTGGTCCATCTTGTGGTTCTAGACAGTGTTTCCCAAACTTCAGTCATTATCATGCCACCATTATATGATTGTTTCCATGTCCACAAATTGTGCCTGTCAGCATTTATTTACTTACTTATTTTATTTTTTTGAAATGTAGTCTCACTCTGTCACCCAGGCTGGAGCGCAGTGGTGCGATCTCAGCTCACTGCAACTTCCACCTCCTGGGTTCAAGTGATTCTCCTGCCCCAGCCTCCTGAGTAGTTGGGAATACAGGCGCCCGCTACCATGCCCAGCTAATTTTTTTGTATTTTTAGTAGAAACAGGATTTCACCATGTTAGCCAGGCTGGTCTCAGTCTCCTGACCTCAGGTGACCCACCTGCCTTGGCCTCCCATAGTACTGGGATTACAGGCATGAACCACTGAGCCCAGCCAGCATGCATATATTTAACAGTTTTTATTGCAATCAACTCCTCCTTTTTTAAAACTTAAATTTAGTTTTAAGGAAACCTTGGCTGGGCACAGTGGCTCATGCCTGTAATCCCAGCACTTTGGGAGGCCAAGGCGGGCGGATCACGAGGTCAGGAGATCAAGACCATCCTGGCTAACACAGTGAAACCGTGTCTCTACTAAAAATACAAAAAATTAGCCGGGTGTGATAGCGGGCGCCTGTGGTCCCAGCTACTTGGGAGGCTGAGGCAAGAGAATGGTGTGAACCCAGGAGGCGGAGCTTACAGTGAGCCGAGATGGCACCACGGCACTCCAGCCTGGGCGACAGAGTGGGACTCCGTCTCAAAAAAAAAAAAAAAAAAAAAAGGAAAGGAAACCTTTACATCACTTCTTTAAATACAAAATTAGTATCCATTGGCATAACTAACAGGTACCCATAAAAATAAATACAGGCCGGGCCTGGTGTCTCACGCCTGTAATCCCAGCACTTTGGGAGGCTGAGGCAAAAGGATGGCTTGAGCCCAGGAGTTCAAGACCAGCCAGGACAACACAATGAGACCCTGTCTCAATCAATCAATCAGTCCATCTATCCATCCATTCATACATACATACATTCAAAGAAAATAGTTGCCGTCACAAAAATCTAGCTGAATGCTGTTCCCTGTCAAAGGCTCTGGGACTCTGGCCCACTTTCTCTTAAGGCTATGCCAGCCGGCCAGGCGCAGTGGCTCACACCTATAATCCCAGCACTTTGGGAGGCTGTGGGCAGATCACCTGAGGTCGGGAGTTCGAGACCAGCCTGACCAACACGGAGGAACCCTGTCTCTACAAAAAATACAAAATTAGCCGGGTGTGGTGGTGCATGCCTGTAATCCAAGCTACTCGGGAGGCTGAGGCAGGAGAATTGCTTGAACCTGGGAGGCGGAGGTTGCGGTGAGCCAAGATCACGCCATTGCACTCCAGCCTGGGCAACAAGAGCGAAACTCCATCTCAAAAAAACAAAAAAGAATATGCCAGCCTTGGCCAGGTACAGTGGCTCACATCTGTAATCCCAGCACTTTGGGAGGCTGAGGCACACGGACCACTTGAGGCCAGAAGTTCAAGACCGGCCTGGCCAACATGACGATACCCCATCTCTGCTAAAAATATAAAAATTAGCTGGGTGTGGTGGCACATGCCTGTAATTCAAGTTATTCTGGACACTGAAGCATGAGAATTGCTTGAACCTGGGAGGCGGAGGTTGCAGTGAGCTGAGATCGCGCCACTGCACTCCAGCCTGGGTGATAAGAGACAGACTCTGTCTCAATTTAAAAAAAAAAAAAAAAAGCAGCTTAAAAAATTACTAAAGAAGGTCGGGCACAGTGGCTCATGCCTGTAATCCCAGTACTTTGGGAGACTGAGGCGGGTGGATCACGAGGTAGGTCAGGAGTTCAAGACCAGCCTGGCCAAGATGGTGAAACCCCATCTCTACTAAAAATACAAAAATTAACTGGGCATGCTGGTAGGAGCCTGTAATCCCAGCTATGCGGGAGGCTGAGGCAGAGAATTGCTTGAACCCAGGAGTCAGAGGTTGCAGTGAGCTGAGATCACGCCACTGCACTCCAGCCTGGGTACCAGAGTAAGACTCACTCTCAAAAAAAAAAAAAATTATTAAAAAAATAATTAAAAAAAAAAAAAAAAAAGAATATGCCAGCCTCATGGCCAGGCACAATGGCACACACCTGTAAACCCAGCACTTTGGGAGGCTGAGGTGGGAGGATTGCTTGAGCCCAGGAGTTCTAGACCAGCCTGGGCAACATGGCAAAACCATGAAAACTGTCTCTGCAAAAGAAAAATAATAATACAAAAATTAGCTGGGCATGGTCTCACACTCCTGTAATCCCAGCTACTCAGGAGGCTGAGGTATCACTTGAGCCTAGGAGCAACAGTGAGCTATGATTGTGCCACTGCACTTCAGCCTGGGTGACAGAGCAAGACCCTGTCTCAAAAAAGAAAAATAAAATAAATAATGCCACCCTCAAAGTAAGGCTTTCTTGTTGGCAAAAATCAGGACTAAAAGAGGAGTTTAAAAGGAACAGTGTTTCAGTGTGTGTTTCAGTGCTGTTTGGTAAAATTGGCTTGTGTGCCCCATAGTAAGCATCCAGTACTTTGGGAAACATTATTCTAGGGACTTATCACCAACATGCTGCATAACCTTTTGAGACAAAATATGATGGTGTTTTGCTGGCACCCTGCCATTGGGCACAAGGGTCAAAGCCGTCACCTCTGGAGCTGACCTGTCAGCTCTGAATCTTAGCTCTCTTGTCTGGTAGCTGTTGTGCCTTCCAGCCAGGCCTCCACCTCCCAACCTCTGTTTCTCCATCTGTAAGAAGGGACTGAATTGCGCAGTCAGTGTTCACAGGGTTGTTATGAGGGTTGATTCCAGGCTCAGAACTGCGCCTGGAACATAGCCAGTGCTGCATAGTAATTACTGTTACTATTTTCATTTGCCTCAGGAAACTTCTTGTGGACCACGGACATGGCAGCCTGCGTGAAGGAGCTTGTTTTCCATCTCCTGGCAGAGCTCCTGCGCACGGTGCACACCCTGGAGCAGAGGCGGCACCCCGCTGGCCTGTCCTCCTCAATCGCCCTCCAGCTGAACCCCTGCCTGGCCATGCTGATGGCCTTGCAGTCGGAGCTCCACAAGCTGTACGACGAGGAGACGCAGAACTGGGTCTCAGGCGGCGCCTGCGGGGGCTCCGGGGGGGCGGCGGCCGGTGACCAGGGCAGGTTCTCTACGTATTTTCATGCACTCATGGAAGGGTGCCTGGCTGTGGCCGAAGTGACCCTGCCTACTAACATGAGTGTCACAGCCAGTGGGGTGACCTCAGCGACCGCCCCAAATCTCAGTGACTCGTCCTCCTCCTCCTCGTCCTCCCCAGGACAGACCCCACAGAGTCCCAGCCTCCTCTCCAAGAGGAAAAAAGTCAAGATGAAGCGGGAAAAGGCCTCCTCGTCGGGCAAGCGCCAGTCTTCCCGCACCGTGGACTCGGACCCCACCGTGCTCAGCATCGGAGGCAGCAAGCCCGAGGACATGCTGTGGTTCCACCGCGCACTCACCCTGCTCATCATCCTCCGCCACCTCACCAGGAAGGACCCACAGGGGCTGGGCGTGACGAGTGACGCCATCGCCGATGCCTGCCAGGCCCTGGTGGGCCCCACCGCCCACAGCCGCTTGCTGGTGATCTCCGGGATCCCCACCCACCTGGACGAGGGCGTAGTCAGAGGCGCCATCCGCAAGGCCTGCAACGCCCACGGCGGGGTCTTCAAAGACGAGATCTACATCCCGCTGCAGGAAGAAGACACCAAGAAGCCAAAAGACAAGGCCGAGGGCGGGGACGGGAAAGTTGAGCCCGAGAAGACACTGGCCTTCCCCGGCACAGACAGCATGGAGGTCAGCACGTCCAGCAGCCTGACCCCCGCCATGAGCATCAGCGCCTCCGCCTCCACCAGCCAGGCCTCCATCTGCAGCTCGCAGGGCATCTCCCAAACCGTCAGCGACCTCTCTGTGGATCCGCTGCCTGCCGGCCTCGAGCTGCCCATCCCTCCGGGCCTGTTGGAGCCCCACGCGGTGTCCAGCCAGGAAAGCCTGGACATTTCCCTGTGCAGCACCGGCAGCCTGGGCAGCCTGGGCAGCCTGGGGGAGCCCCTGGACAATGCAGAGACGGCCTCGGTGTCGGACATGGGCTCCATGTACACAGTCACTTCCCTGGACAACCAGCCCCTCGCCGCCCGCCCCATCAAAGGCTTCGCAGTCGTGGAGGTAACAGCTTTCAAGCCTCTGCAACCACTAAATCATGACCCATTTCAATCCCCCAAGCCTCTTTAAATCTTCCAAAGTTATTTCCTAGTAGGTAATGGTGGAGCGGTTGGGGGCTCCCTGGGGCAGCCCTTGGAATGAGCACAGTGAGGCTGCTTGGGGTAACGTCTCTGAGTGACACCAAGTCCCATATCACGAAGTAAAGGGGAGCCAGAGGGCTCAGGGCCTGGCCTTCCGCGGTGGGTGGGCGCCATCAGTGCATTCTGACTCAGCCCCATCGCATCTTGAATGGCCTTGGGTTCTTTTTGTTCTTTTTGGTGTTGCCATTGGCAGGAGGGATGGTCACTGAGCAGCATGAGAATAGACTCCTGCCATTCTGTCCCAGGTGATTCTGAGTTTCAGATGACCTGCATGCTAGTGAGTCATAGTTCCACTTCAGGATCCCATGTATTCCTTAGGCCTCGCCGTTTAGAAATCCTGCATCAGAGCCTTTCTGTGCTTTTGCATAACAGTAAGGTAGGGAACTGACATGCATTACTCTCCCAGCAGGCTCTGCAAGGAGGGTTGAAGGATCAAGCAGCTGGTTTCTTTCCTAGAATCACTTCTTTGAATCCATCATCCTCCTTCATGGGGACTTCCTCAGAGTTAGGCATGAATTTTTCCTCCCTGGGAATCAGAGTAAAGCCACAGACCTGGCTGGGGTTTAGTGACAGAGATTTCAGGTTGAGTCATTTGCTAAAAGTCACTGTTGTTGGCCTGTGGGAGAAAGTTTCCCAGGAGGTCCAGCTCACCAGAGTAGGGCAGCTTTCACATCTCTGCAGATGAATAGAGGGTTTCCAGGAAAAGGTGGGAGGGAGAAGTTCACTCACACTGAATGACTGGTCAAGCTACTCAAATCCTGACCCTGTTCTCTGTTCACACAGATAAGATCCCGAGCCAAAATTGAGAAAATTCGAGCAAGTTTATTTAACAATAATGACTTGATTGGTTTGTCAAGTTTGGATGGTGAAGATGAATTGATGGAAATGTCAACAGAAGAGATTCTAACCGTGTCTGTAGTAAATCAGAGTCTCTTTGATACTCAAGGGAGCCCAGGGTTAGAAGATTATTTCAATGATAAGTCAATTAAAGGTGGGTTCTGGATTTGTTTTTAATCTGTAGACTTTTTGTGGAGCAATTTTAGGCTCACAGAAAAAAATCTGCATTAAAATCTCCTCCCCTCCCCAGTATCCCCTATTTTTAACATCTTGCATTAAAGAGAAATTTGGCAGCTACTCCTGGGTTGCAGATTTTGAAAACAATTCAGAGAGTGTTGGTGAGATGGCACAAGAGGCTCCATTGTTTGTCAGTGGGGGCTGGTTATGTGCATCTTTGTATGATGTGAAAAGAAATGTTCCCCCTTCTCCCAGCTGTCAGGGCGCTGAAGGCCGTGGGGGCAGCCCCTGCCACAGGCCTGCCGCGTTCCAGCTGGAGAGGCTACCAGGGGTGGCTTTGCGCCGCCTGCAACAGGCTTGAATGTGGGCTTGTATTCAAGTCATTTTTTCCTTTTTGTCTAGCCAGCCTTCCCCTGGTTCAAGTGCAGTGTATTTATTTTGTTCTGTCCTGTGCAGCTAGAACATTGCTGGTAATTATTTCATCATATGCTTGAGGACAGCTCATGCGTCCCCCTTGTAAACTGACTCCTGGGAAAGAAACAGTTCCGTCCCTTTTTTCTCCGAAGTCCCATTTTCCAGCCCTTTTGCCATTCTGGTGGCTCTTTTGTGGAGCAAATTCTGCTTCCCCACTAATTTCTTTTTTTTTTTTTTAATTCCTCTTTTTTTCCTTTTTTAATTCATTTTTTCTTTTTAAAATTCTTTTCTTTAAAAAAAATTATTTTATTTATTATTTGTACAGAGAGGGTCTTCCTATGTTGCCCGGGCTGGTCTCAAACTCCTAGGCTCAAGCAGTCCTCCAGCCTCGGCCTCCCAAAGTGTTAGGACTATAGGCGTGAGTCATCACACTGGCCTTAATGTAATTCTTTAATGTTTGAAATTTCATCTTAGAGTTGCTATGTTGTTCTATGTTTTTGAAGTATAAAATTGTAATCTTTTTTTTTTTAAGACAGAGTCTCGCTCTGTCACCCGGGCTGGAGTGCAGTGGTACAATCTCAGCTCACTGCAACTTCCACCTCCTGGGTTCAAGCAATTCTCCCTGCCTCAGCCTCCCCAGTAGCTGGGATTACAGGTGCACGCCGCCATACCCAGCTAATTTTTGTATTTTTAGTAGAGACGGGGTTTCACCATGTTGGCCAGGCTGGTCTCGAACTCCTGACCTCAGGTGATTTGCCCGCCTTGGCCTCCCAAAGTGCTGGGATTACAGGTGTGAACCACTGCGCCCAGCCAAAACATGTAATATTGAGTAGAGGTTTTGTTGTTTTAAATTATTACCCCAGGCCGGGCACGGTGGCTCATGCCTGTAATCCCAGCACTTTGGAAAGCCAAGGCAGATGGATTGCTTGAGCCCAGGAGTTTGAGACCAGCCTGGTCAGCATAGTGAGACCTCGTCTCTACAAAAAATGAAATAAGCTGGGCGTGGTGGCGTATGCCTGTAGTCCCAGCTACTCAGGAGGCTAAGGTGGGAAGATCACTTGAGCCCAGGAGTCGAAGGCTGCAGTGAGCTGAGATCACGCCACTGCACTCCAACCTGGGTGACCCCATCTTTAAAAAAAAACATGGTTACCCCAATCATGAAATCTGGAAATGTTCCCTCAGAGGTAGGATCAGGGTGAGGTAAGTGAGATCTTGGGTACACAATTTAATGGGGCTCCAAAAAACTCAGTCAGTAAGAGAAATAATATTGTAGTATAGTTTTTTTAAAGTCAAAATTAAAGTATCCATGATCAGCAAAGTGTTAAAATTTTAAATAAAGATAGGATTAGCATTACTGATCTTTTTCTCTTCCTCAGGCTCTGATATGGGTCAGCACAGCACTGTAAATATTTTGTTCATCATGGAGGTTTTTTTACGTTAATTTTTTTTTTTTTGAGATGGAGTCTCACTCTGTCACCCAGGCTGGAGTGCAGTGGTGCGATCTCAGCTCACTGCAACCTCCACCTCCCGGGTTCAAGCAGTGGAGGCTGGACTCGAACTCCTGACCTCAGGTAATCCTGCGGAGGCCTGCCTCGGCCTCCCAAAGTGCTGGGACTACAAGCGTGAGCCACCGTGCCCAATTTTTTTTTTTTTTTAGCTGACAAGTGCTACTAAATAATTTTGACTGATTAAAATACTGCAGTAAAGTATTGTTTATCTTGATGACTGAGGTTTTTGGCGTTTTCTTAAATCTTGCCTGGCATTGAGCAAAGACCTCGGTGGGCTCACCCTGGTCCCAGCCTTGTCCCACATTGGCGTGCGTTTTGCCCCCTCAGCTCTCAGCTGCCCCCAAAGTCGATGTCAGGTCTGCTTAACAGGAAGCCTGAGGTCTTTCTGCCATGATTATCTTTCCCAGTCTTCTCATACTTAGATACTGAATTTTAGTTCTAGTTCCTGTTTCTTTTACAGTCAAACTTTCCACATATGGTACCTGGTCTTTTGGTACTGCATGGATCTGCCTCATGGTGCTAGGTACACTCCTCATGTGAGGGTTGTTTCCTTTTTTTTGTTGTTGTTGTTTTTTTTTTTTTAAACAGTCTCACTCTGTCACCCAGGCTGGAATGCAGTGGTACCATATCGGCTCACTGCAACCTCCACCTCCTGGTTTCAAGTGATTCTCATGCCTTAGCCTCCTGAGTAGCTGAGAAGACAGGCACACGCCACCACACCTGGCTAATTTTTGTATTTTGCTTCACCATATTGCCCAGGCTGGTCTTGAACTCCTTACCTCATGTGACCCACCTGCCTCAGCCTTCCAAAGTGCTGGGATTACAGGTGTGAGCTACCGCACCTGGCCTCATGTGAAGGTTTTTAACTTGTGACTCTGCTGAGTCAGCTGAGGTCTCAGCCTCTCTCTTCCACACACCTGCCTCTCCCACCCTCAGCCCAGATATGCTGGAGTTGCCACAGCTGGGCCTGGCCTAGGCCAGACTCCCCAGGAGAGGGAGCAGTCCAGAGGGAATGAGGGGCCTGGGCTGCTGGGAGAACGGAGTGATTCCTAAGAGCATGCAGATGGGTTCATGACTGGCCCTTAGGAAAGGTGAGAGCACCTTCTGGAGTGCTTGTTTGGGGACAAAAAAATATTTTTTCTGGTGCTTATAGACAGTTTTTTTGTATCTCAGAAAACTCTTTTTCACCTGCTCATTGCGCCAGTTTTGAAGAATATTTCCTATGAATGAGATCACCTGTTTAACAAGTTGTACTTCCCACTAAAAATACTTGCTGGCTATCTATCCTCTGGGATTATTCTAGACTAAACTGCTATGATAAATAGCCCCAGGAGGACAATGGCTCAAGTCCAGTGGAAGTTAATTCCCTGCAGATATAAGAGTGAGGGTGAGCACTGAGGTGTGCCCACCCTCGGGGAGGGGCCTGTCGTCCCCGAGCAACCAGGTAGGGGCCAAGTGCAGAGGACAGCAGCCTGGTCCCCATGTGGCTCACATCCCACAGTGACCACGGTTGCAGGGCCGCACCTTACGGCAAGGAAGGCTGGGCATGTGCTGGGCTGTGCCCAGGGAGGGAGCCAGGCTTTGGTGGGCAGCTCTTCCTTCCACTAATGTCCATCCACTGCCCCTTTCAAACAGTGTTTGGAAACAGAATGCTCGCAGGGCTTGTCCCGATGCATGTTCACGGCAGAATTGTTTTGCCCCCTCTCCATCCAACAGGGGAGAAGCTGGTGCCCGGAGCCAGAGAGGTTCTGACGGAGATATTTAAGAGTTGTGCCCATTCAGAGCAGACGCTGAGCCTGACACCAGCGAAGCCCATCAGAGTCTCTGACATTTATCTTAGCAAAGAGCAGATCAACTCCCAGACCCCAGGCAACCTCCTCCACCTCTTCTTCACCAATGTCCGGCCGCCAAAAAAGGTGCTGGAGGATCAGCTCACCCAGGTAGCTGCCCGTCCCCACCATACCCAGGCCGGGCCTTGGGTGCCCTGCAGGGCGAACCTGAGAGCCTCCCCGCTGCCTCTGTGCTCCACAGATCCTGAGGAAGTATGGCGTGCCAAAGCCCAAGTTTGACAAGAGCAAGTACAGCAAGGCCGGGAAGGAGCAGCACCCCGTGAAGGTGGTGAGCACCAAGCGGCCTATCACCAAGCCGCCCGCCAAGGACAAGGCTGTGCTCAACAGCGTCAGGTGCGTGCCCCAAGGAGCCTGGGCAGCCCAGCCTGTGGGCAGATGTGGGGGAGGCCTCCGAGCAGGAGCCTGAGGGGCGGCAGCTCCTCTGGAGGAGCCTGGTGTCAGGCCTTTTTTGTCATGCTTTGTCGCCCAGGCTGGAGTGCAGCGGCCCGATCACAGCTCACTGCAGCCGGGCTCAAGCGATCCTCCCACCTCAGCCTCCTGAGTATCTGGGACTACAGGCACATGACACCTCACCTGACTAATTTTTTAAAATTTTCTGTAGAGATGGGGTTTCACCATGTTGGCCAGGCTGGTCTTCAACTCCTAGGCTCAAGCGATCAGCCTGCACTGGCCTCCCACAGTGCCGAGGTTACAGGCGGGAGCCACTGTGCCCGGTGGGTGTCTGGGCCCTTTCTGCTGAGCTCCTTTCTCAGTCCTCAGCTCCATCAGGTGAACATCAGAGTTTCATTTTATCCACAAGTGTGGTCAGATTCTGACCATGAAGGCTGGAAAGCCGACCCATCTAAATGAAGACAACATTTAAAATGTTCTATATTTTCTTTAATCCTACTTCTTTTAGTCACACAAATAATGCATAGTTATTGTAGAAAGATTAGAAAATGCATAACGCCTTAAGCCCGGGAGTTCAAGACCAGCCTGGGCAACATGGCAAAACACCATCTCTACAAAACAATATAAAAATTAGCTGACTGTGGTGGCATGCACCTGTGGTCCCAGCTACTCAAGAAGCTACTCAAGAAGCTGAGGCAGGAGGATGGCTTGAGCCCCAGAGGTCGAGGCTGCAGTGAGCCATGATCACACCACTGCACTGGTGACAGAACGAGACCCTATCTCAAAAAAAAGAAAAAGAAAATGCATAGTGCCTATTGGAAAAAATTGAATTGCCCCTTGCATAGCAACTACTTTTAAGTACATGACCTTTGATTTATGCCTATATATTATTTTCATAAGTTTTGAATGACCAAAATAGTACAAGATTCAAAAGCAGATGCAGTGAAAAGCCACTCTTCCTCCGGACCATTCTTAAGCCTTGAAGCTCCCCTCCCTGAGCCTGCAAGGTTACTTCTGTAGCTTTTGGGAAGAACCCTTTCTATAAATACAGAAGCAATTCTATACATATGCCCAGTGTTGGGTACCATACACAATGTCCATACCTTGCCATTTTTATTTAATACTAATTTTGGAAATCATTTCAGACCAGTACAAAAAGAATTCCCCATTCCTTTTTTAAAAAATAGCCTCATAGGCCGGGCGCGGTGGCTCACGCCTATAATCCCAGCACTTTGGGAGGCCGAGATGGGCGGTTCACAAGGTCAGGAGATCGAGACCATCCTGGCTAACACGGTGAAACCTCGTCTCTACCAAAAATACAAAAAAATTAGCCGGGCGTGGTGGCGAGTGCCTGTAGTCCCAGCTACTTGGGAGGCTGAGACAGGAGAATGGCGTGAGCCCGGGAGGCGGAGCTTGCAGTGAGCCGAGGTCACGCCACTGCACTCCAGCCTTGGCAACAGAGCAAGACTCTGTCTCAAAAAAAAAAAAAAAAAAAATAGCCTCATAACATTCCATGTATGGATATGCATATAAATTTAATAGAATATTCTTTAGATACGGGTCTGTGACTCTCGAGTACACAGAGATGAAACCTTGATAGCAAAATATTACCCAGCAAGAATCTCTAGAGGAATTGTTTAACCAGAAAAATAAAGGTTTTTAAAAGTTAATTCATTATGTAGAAATGGTGTTTCTCAATCAGCACTGTCCCATAGTACTTTTCTGTGCTGGTGGAAATCAGTGCTGTATCTATATCCGTGCTGGTGGGTACAGCAGCCCCTAACCACAACTGGCTATGGGGCATTTGCAGTGTGGCAAGGGTGAACAGGAACTGAATTTGTGATTATATTTCATTTTAATTAACCTTAGGTAGCTACATCTGGCTAGCAGCTACCTTATTGAACAGTGTAGCTCTAAAATATGTAGAAAGAGTGTTTGAAAAGAGTCTCTACAAGATTTTTCATGTTTTAAGGCACGGATATGTCCTTGTAATTTGCTCAGTGAACTTTTCTCACTCAGAACAAAGGCGGTCTTGAACGCCCCCGCCCTATCTGAGCCCTAAGCCCTAAGTTGGAGGAGGGAGCAGGAATGAATGACTATGAGGCTGTGTATTTCCTATCGGGAGGAGGTGTGAACGTGCATTAGTCTAATTCCAGTGCTTTGGTCTACAGCAGGACTGCCTTAAGTGAGAAGAAGCCAACTGTGAAGCCAAAATCACCAGAAAAGAGCAAACCAGATGAAAAGGACCCAGAAAAGTCACCTACCAAAAAACAAGAAGGTGAATGAGCAGACGGGGCCTGGAGTGGGCTGGGACCTACTTCCATCCTGGAGACTAGGCACCCCCCGAGGAGCAGGCCTCTGCTTTTCCTGACTGGCCACTCCTACTGGGATGGCCTCTGCTCTGGGCTCTGGGTTCCCTGGGGTATCAGGCAGGACAGCATTTCCAGAGATTCTGGGAAATATTCCTGGCCAGGGATCGCCCCTCGATGCCATCTTTGATGACCATGAACTTGAGGAAGTAAAATAGCAGTTCCAGAAACACCGCATGCCCAGGATAAAGAACAGATGATTGTGACCGAAAAGTGAAGCTTGGGAAATCTGCATGGACGCTTTGTTCTAGAAGGCACTGGCCTAAGCTAGCGGCCTGTGCTGGGGCAATAGAATGCAAGCCTCCAGAAAGGCCCAGGCAGCATTGGAGAAAGCTATTCTTGTTGTCTGGAAAATTGCTTTGTCAGTCGGGGATGTTTTAGAGATTCATAGAAAGAGGGGATGTGGGAAACTGCAGCCTGTTGAGGGAGACAGAGCCCTCAGGGGCCTGGGCACATGAGGGCTTATGAGTATCCTGTGCGCAGTGGGTCACAATGGCAAATGACAATTCCCAGAGTTACGGGAGGGAGAGGGGAATTAGATGGGTTGGGCCGTAGGGGAGAGGCTGTGGTGAGAGCAGAGCACGTTGGAGGCGCGCGATGTGCGCAGGTCTCACCAGATTCCTCACACTGAACCCTTTCCACCAGTCCCTGAGGAAAAATACCTGACGCTGGAAGGATTTCACAAATTTGTTATTGACCGAGCCAGGCAAGATATCCGTAGCGTCTGGAGGGCGATCTTGTCCTGTGGTTACGATCTTCACTTTGAGAGGTAAGAGGGTTACCCCTCGACTCAGTTGGCACCTTGCATAGAAATTGTTTTCAGCCAAGAGCATAATTTCTGAGGAGCTGATCCGTCTCCCCTGTTGATAATGCTTTCTGAGTTATTTCGTAATTTCTGAGTTTTTTCCTAAGTGCTAAATGGGTTTTCTAACCCATTTGTAAACAAACCTGTTCTTTTTCTCCACACTCCTGACTTGGAGACTGTGCTGGTCAGCTTGGGCTGCCGTGACAGGACACCACACACTGAGCTTAAACAACAGAAACGTATTCTCTCTCAGTTCTGGAGGCTGGAAGGCCCAGATCAAGGTGTCAGCAGTGCTGGTTTCTCCTGGGGCTGCTCTCCTTGGCTCCCAGACTGCCACCTTCTCAAGGTCCTCACATGGGGTCTTCCCTCAGTACCTACCTGTGTCCTAATCTCCTGTTCTTACAAGGATACCAGTCCTGTTGGATTAGGAGCCCACGCTGATGACCTCTTTTAACCTGAATCACCTCTTTAAAGGCCCTGTCTCCAAATGTAGTCACACTGGGGATTAGGGCTTCAACATACGTATCTGTTCGGGGACTGGGAGGACACAGTTCAGTCCCATAACAGTTTCTTACCCCAAAGAACCTTATCCTCAGAGTCACACTTTGCCTCGAGTCCACATTGCCCTCGCTCCTTCCCAGGCAGGGGCACAGCTAGGCCACAGCTTGCCAGGGCTTCAGGGCTAAATATGGTTTCCCCTTTCTAGCTATAAGTGAATCCCAGGCACTTCAGAAATCACCCTGCCCTGCCCTCCCTCTGGCTCACGCACGTGTGCACATACACACACACACGCCCCTACTCAGCCTTGTCCACAGCAAGTGCACCTGGCATCAATCAATGAAAATGGCTACCAGGCCAGGCGCGGTGCCTCACACCTGTAATCCCAGCACTTTGGGAGGCATGAGGTCAGGAGCTTGAGACCAGCCTGGCCAATATGGTGAAACCCCGTCTCTACTAAAAATACAAAAATTAGCCGGGCATGGGGCACATGCCTATAATCCCAGCTACTCAGGAGGCTGAGGCAGGACAATCGCTTGAACCCAGGAGGCAGAGGTTGCAGTGAGCCGAGATTGTGTCACTGCACTCCAGCCTGGGCGACAGAGTGAGACTCCATCTCAAAAAAAAGAAAAAGAAAATGGCTACCAAGGCTGAGCATGGTGGCTCACGCCTGTAATCCCAGCACTTTGGGAGGCTGAGGCGGGTGGATCACCTGAGGTCAGGAGTTCGAGACCAACCTGATCAACGTGGTGAAACCCTGTCTCTACTACCAGCCAGGTGTGGTGGTAGGTGCTTGTAATCCCAGCTACTCAGGAGGCTGAGGCAGGAGAATCGCTTGAACCCAGGAGGCAATGGGTTGCAGTGAGCCAAGACTGCACCATGGCACTCCAGCCCGGCCAACAAGAGCCACACTCTGTCTTAAAAAAAAAAAAAAGTCAGACGAGGTGGCTCACACCTGTAATCCCAGCACTTTGGGAGGCCAAGGCGGGCAGATCAACTGAGGTCAGGAGTTGAAGACCAACCTGACCAACATGGTGAAACCCCGTCTCTACAAAAATTAGCCGAGCGTGGTGGCGCACGCCTGTAATCCCAGCTACTTGGGAGGCTGAGGCAGGAGAATCACTTGAACCTGGGAGGCGGGGGTTGTGGTGAGCTGAGATTGCGCCATTGCACTCTAGCCTGGGCAACAAGAGTGAAACTCCAACTCAAAAAAAAAAAAAAGAAAAGGAAAGAAAATGGCTACCAAAACATGCTTTTTTTAAAAATCCATTTTCAGAATTGAGAAATGCTTTACTGCTTGGTGCCAGCCTTTTGTACCATTGTTGAAGGCTCAGAGTCAGTCCCTGAATGGATCTTGCATTATGGTGGCAGGGACAAGTTTTCTGAACTTGTTTTAGAAACCCTAGCACTTTGGGAGCTGAGGTGGGAGGATGGCTTGAGCCCAGGATTTCAAGAACAGCCTGGGCAACACAACGAGACCCCATCTCTACAAAAAAAAATTAAAAATTGGCCGGGCGCATTGGCTCACGCCTGTAATCGCAGCACTTTGGGAGGCTGAGGCGGGCGGATCACAAGGTCAGGAGATTGAGACCATCCTGGCTAACACGGTGAAACCTCGTCTCTACTAAAAATACAAAAAAAAAAATTAGCCAGGTGTGGTGGCAGGCGCCTGTAGTCCTAGCTAGTCAGGAGGCTGAGGCAGAAGAATGGCGTGAACCCAGGAGGCAGAGCTTGCAGTGAGCTGAGATCGCACCACTGCACTCCAGCCTGGGCGATAGAGCGAGACTCCATCTCAAAAAATAAATAAATAAAAATAAAAAAATTAAAAAATTAAAATTTTAAAATTAGGCAAGCAAAGTGGCTCGCACTTGTGGTCCCAGCTACTGGGGAGGCTGAGGTGGGAGGATCGCTTGAGTCCAGGAGTTCAAGGCTGCAGTGAGCTATGATTGCCCCACTGCACTCCAGCCCAGGCAACAGAGCAAGATTTTGTCTCTAAGGAGAAAAAAGTTGTGTGACACACTGCAGGCTGATGCTATTAGGAGCTCCTCCTTCACCCTCACGTGCTGCTGCCGACACACAGGAGTGAGGCATGGGTGGGTGCATGGTGCCACCTCCCAGAAGGATGCAGCATTCCCACTCCCACCGGCATGCTTGGCTTGCTTCTTTTGAAAGAGCTTTCCCCATGAGGAGCTGTCCAGGCACCAAGAAACAACCTGGAAGGCGAGGCCGTCTTCTGAATGTGCTCCAGGAGCTGAGGACAGGGCTCTGTAAGAGAAATGCAACAGTCATCCCGGTGTGCCCTGCCTCACTTTGCCCCTCTCCCCCTGTCCCCACCCCAAGGTGCGCATGCATCGATGTCCGACATGCACAGAAGGCCTCAAGAAAGTGGACCCTGGAGATGGACGTGGCACTTGTGCAGTACATCAACCAGCTATGCCGCCACCTCGCCATCACACCCGCACGGCTCCATCCCCATGAGGTGTACCTGGACCCCGCGGATGCTGCTGACCCCAGAGTGGCCTGTCTCCTGAGTATGTGGCCCTGGGCCTATCCCCTCCCCTGCTGCCTGATGCGGGCATGCCCCATGACAAGGGGCATTTACAAGGGCTAGATTCATTTAGACGTCCATCGAACGAACACTTATGAACACCTGCTATGCGCCAGGTGTGCAAGGAAGAGTGGGCTGACGAAACAGGGAGGGCAAGGCAGGGAGCCAGGACTGTGGCCTAATTAGTCTGGGGCCTTTTTTAATGCCAGTGACAACAAAGCCAGGGAGCAGATACAGAAATGCACGGCTGCGGGGAATGCCCAGGCCGCTGCCTGGAGGCCCCGCTGAGGCCAGGCTGCCATGGGGAGTGAGAAGCATTTATAGTCTGATAACTTGCAGTAGAGGCATTAGCCTTCATAATGGGGAACACCATGTTTTTGTTAAAAGCTAGGATTGCAGGAAGGCCCATTCAGGTGCCCCTGTGTTTCCAAAGAGAGAAAGCCGTTCTCTGGGCCAGGCGCGCTAGCTCATGCCTGTAATCCCAGCACTTTGAGAGGCCAAGGCGGGCGGATCACTTGAGGTCGGGAGTTTGAGACTAGCCTGACCAACATGGAGAAACCCCATCTCTACTAAAAGTACAAAATTAGCCGGGCGTGGTGGCGCATGCCTGTAATCCCAGCTACTTGGGAGGCTGAGGCAGGAGAATCGCTTGAACCCGGGAGGTGGAGGTTGTGGTGAACCAAGGTCACGCCATTGCACTCCAGCCTGGGCAACAAGAGCAAAACTCCGTCTCCAAAAAAAAACTAGGATTGCACACAAAAAATAAATTGTTAATTCCCAGACGCCCCCCGTTTACAAGGTATTGGCGAGCAGTTCATTACACTCGTCCCAGGGGCTGTGCTCAGCCGCTTGCCTCATCAGCAACAGACACAGAGCCCTGGCTCTTTCCTGGGTGCCAAGGAGGTAAAGGTGGACAAGAGGTTGTCCTGACTTCCTTCTGTCACAGTGAGAAGGGTGAAGGACTGAAGGGCAGTGTGCCAGTGGCACAGTTTCCTGGTTTTGATATGACATCACCATTGGGGGACACTGGGAGAAATGTACACGGGACTCTTTGTGCCATTTTTGCAACCTCCTATATTATTATTTCAAAATTGTAAGTCAAAAACTAACGTAGTGCACAGCCCTGGCATGGCCCTGAAGGTAGATGAGGGGCCTTGGACTCCTTAAGAGCCAGCACCTCCATCTGGCCAGCCAGGCCCTCGCCCTTTGTGTCTGCTTGGCATAGGCACAGGCACATTGGGGGCCGCTCACTCACTGACAGCATCTCCAGGGTCCCAGGTAAAAAATCCACCAATCCTGTTCGCAGTGATAGGGTTGCCTGTGTTGCCTGTGAGTCAGGCATCTCAGCCACCTGGCCGAGATCTCAGCCTGACTGCTCCTGCGCCCTCAGACGTGCCCATCGAGAGCCTGCGCCTGCGCTTCGCCTTGCTGCAGTCCCTCAACACCACACTGGAGACCTTCTTCCTGCCCCTGGTGGAGCTGCGCCAGACACCCATGTATACCCACAGCATCGCCGCCCTGCTGAAGGAGGCCAAAGGTCAGTGCCTGCACCTGCCCTGGCCCTGCAGGAAGAGAGAGGTGACCTGCAAGACACCAGGGCCAGAATCCACGGGCAGCGTCCTTGGGCAGCCCCGCCAGGAAGATGCCACCCCACCTCAACCTTTCATGTAGCAGGCAGGGCTCCTCTGGAGCAACAGGCCCACCCAAGGGAAGTTACTTTAATTATAAAAGTAACATGCTCTGAAAAATAAAATTATTTTTAAGGTTTTCAAATTAATTAGAAATCATATATGAAGGTCTGTTTACTATCTGGCCTCCACATCCCTACATCCCAGAAGTGACATTGTTAACAGATGAGTCTCTCTCCTTCCAGACTTTTCTCTTGACATATAAACAGACACATGTGTGCACACACACAGCTTTTTGTCTTTTTTTAAATTAAAAATAGGTATCATTTTCTACATTCCATTTTGCAACTCTAGTTTGTTTGCATTGTTTCTAGAAATTGGATGTCTCCTGGGAATGACAAAGGGTATATGCTGGGCGGATGCTGACACACCACCCTCCACAGTCAGGGCCCGGCTCTACTGCCACCAGGGGGCCTGAGAGTGCCACACCCAGGGACCGGAAGAGAGTCTTGGGGGGACTGGGAAGGAAGGGACAAAGCCCCACCCAAGCCTCTCCCACGTTCCTCTCCTTAGGGCTGATCTTCTATGACACGAAGGTGACCGTGATGAATCGAGTGCTGAATGCCACTGTGCAGAGGACAGCGGACCACGCGGCCCCTGAGATCACCTTGGACCCACTGGAAATTGTGGGAGGTGGGGTTGGCTGCGGAGAGCAAAAAATGCAAAATGGCAGTGCCTAAACACACTAGCGGATTTCTGGAACATAAAAGAAGGGGGTCCAGGGCTGGTGCAGCGGTTCCTCCTGTCGTTCTGCTGGAGCGCCCTGGTGTGTGGCTTCCTGCTGGAAGGTCCCCTCAGGAGCTCAGGGAAGGGGCATAGCAGAAGGAGCTTGGCTCCCGGGGGCCCACCCAGCTGCATGGGGTCAGGTGGGGCAGGCTTTGCTCTGATCAGCCATGTGCCTGCCAAAAATGGGGATTCCAGCATCAAAGGAAAGGGAGAGAAGGTCACTGGGGAGGCTCCCCAGAGTCTCTGCCACAGCGTATAGACAGAAGGGGGATATGCGCAGAGGAAACGAGAGAGGAGTTGGGGGGCGAGGACCTCCCCAAGAGGCAGAGGGAAGCCTCTAGAAGATGAGAAGGGGCCAAGCACTGGGGGCCCAGGAGGGCAGGTTCCAAAAGTGGGAGCCATGAGTGCTAAGGCACAGAAGGCTCTAAGGTGTTCTGAGGGCAGAGAAGGCACAGGGGGCCGAGCGAGGGAGCAGGGGTCCAGGGACAGGCACAGGCCTGCTAGGCCCAGGGTCTGTCCTCAAGGGGAGGGGAGAGGGCGGCCACGGCGGGGTGCTTTGATCAGCTCATCTCACTTTCCAGGGGAAATCAGAGCTTCTGAAAACTCCTACTTCTGTCAGGCTGCCAGGCAGCTGGCCTCAGTGCCGTCGTCTCAGCTCTGCGTCAAGCTGGCCAGTGGCGGTGACCCCACATATGCCTTCAACATCCGCTTCACTGGCGAGGAGGTCCATGGCACCAGTAAGTGGTGGCCCGCCAGGCTCCACGCTGGAGGAGCTGTGTTTAGTGTCCAGCCTTAGCCCCAGCTGCCCAAGACCTCCATTTCCAAGAGTAAAAGCCACATCCTCAGCACTTGTGCTGCAGAAGCCAGGTCTGCACCCAGAGTGGCCTCACGCCCGTGTCCTCCAGACCAGCCCCCTGTGGAAGCCTCGGCCAGTCCCTGCTGGGCTTGGGGACGGCACCTCTGCTCAGGGCCCTCCTCGGTGCTGATTGGCCCCCTCCCCGGGAAGGGCCCTGGCTGAGGAGTTGGTGGGCCTAAAGGCTTGTGTGTGCCCCATGAGAGGCAGGGTGTTGGGGAGTCCTTGGTTAAGATGGCACCATAGCACTCTTCAGGGATGAGGACTGGCAGCTGAGCAAGTGCTCCCTTGTGACCTCTTATGCTTAGCCCCAGACATTCAGGAAACGTGTCCACTGCAGATGGAGAAGAAAGCTAGTTTCTCCACAGCCGGGCACACTGGAAGGAAAGGCTGTCCGGGCAGGAGGGAGCCCCCACCCAGCTCCTTCTCCCCTTTCCTCTGATCTGCCCCCACGGGAACGCAGCTGCCTCCCAGACGGGGGACCCTGGCATCCTATGGGCAGGCCTCCTAGGCCTCTCTGAGAGCAACTCTGGTTCACTGACAGCCCAGACTCACGCTCGACACCTTATCCTTCCCACAGCAGCGAACCTGCCCAGAGTGCCAGCCCTGGCCCATCCTACACATAGGGAAACTGGGACTCTACAAAGCCAAGTCACTTCCCAAGGTCATGCAGCCAGCTGGGGTTCCAGGGTCCAGGCCCCTGGCCTTCCAGGCGTCAGCAGTCAGGACGCTCCTGCTTCTCCTTGAAGCAGAGGTGAGGGCCAGGCCCACCATCTGCCCCTGCACTGGGCCCCCACACTGGGTTTCCACATGGCTCTTACCAAGCAGGGTGTGGGCACAGCTGTGCTCAGAGCTCCCTGACCTCAGGGTACCGATAGGGAACACAGGGAAGGCCAGAGGAGATTTACAACAAAACCAAAGGCCCATCTTGAATGGCGGCGGGAGAGGATGAGCAGTTACCGTTGCCCTTTGCACATTCACACATTTGTCCATTCACTCACGCATTCATCGGACATACGCGAGCCCGGGCACTGGGGGAGGCAGTGCTGAGTGAAACAGGTGGTCCTGCCCTCAGCCTGGCCCAGAGGGACAGACATGGACCAAACAAGTCCACAACTCAGGCAGGCTTGCAGCTGTGAGAGGTTGCCTGTGTGGGGACCTGCGGTGACCTCACTGAATCTTCGAATGGCCTTCGGGGTAGGTACGGTCACTCTCCCATTTGACAGACAGGTGACTGAGCCTCAGGGACATCTTGCCCTCCGTGGTATCCCTGGGTGGCCCCACTAGTGAGTGGAGAGCAGGATTGGACCTGAGGCCTCCCAGGCCTGGGGTGGCTTCTTTCTACCCCGCCACAGCGGCAGGTAGGCCGTGGAAGGAGTAGCCGCTCCAGCCAGCAGGTGAGAGGGAGGGAACGGTGTCGCCTCCCGCCGGGACACCCCAGGTGCCCATGTGTCTCGTCTGTCCTACAGGCGGCTCTTTCCGCCACTTCCTGTGGCAGGTGTGTAAGGAGCTGCAGAGTTCCTCGCTGTCGCTGCTGCTGCTGTGCCCCAGCTCAGCTGTCAATAAGAACAAGGTAGGCAGAGGCCGGGAGGAGGCTCCACGCCCCCGAGCTCATGTCCTGCGCAGTGGCTGGGGTGGCGGGCAGTGTGTGTCTCATCAAAGCCAAACCGTTTCAGAAACCCTCCCAATCTGTGGGGACAGGTCCTTGCCTCACTGGATGGGCAAGCTCTGGGAGCTTGCAGTGACTTCTCTCCTGCCTGCCACAGGGTATGGTGGCTTGAAACACATGTTCCCTGGCGGGCACAGAGGCCCACGCCCAGGTCACCTCATGCCCACCTCCACTTCCAGGGCAAGTATATCCTGACCCCGAGCCCCATCACCTACGGGGAGGAGCAGCTGCTGCACTTCCTGGGGCAGCTGCTGGGGATTGCAATTCGGGCAGACGTCCCGCTGCCCCTGGACCTCCTGCCCTCCTTCTGGAAGACGCTGGTGGGCGAGCCCTTGGACCCTGAGCAAGACCTGCAGGAAGCGGATATCCTCACCTACAATTACGTCAAGAAGTTTGAGAGCGTGAGTGCAAGGCACAGTTCTGGGGGGCTGCAGAACCCGGGGCCTCCCCGCCACCTTGCTTAGGCCTCCATGCAGACCCGAGCTCCCCGCTGAGGCTGGGTTGGGATCCCACAGAGGACCTTAGGGGTGTGAGCCATGTGCCAGGAAGGCTTATTTCATGGGGACAGAGGCCTCTGGCCTCCCTCCCTGCTGGCAGCAGAGATTGGAGGTGACATGACCAGCCCTGCTGGCCCTCCCCTCCCACATTGGTGCTCATTGCCTGGCCATGGGCAAGGGCTCCTGGAGCTGAGTGAACAGGCACTGGGAGAACAGCTGTAGGGGTGAAGGTTAAGAGTTTTTTCAGGGACTCAGAGCACAGGAGTCAGCCCTGGGACCACCTGAGGTCCACCAAGGGGGAGGCATCAGGATGGAGCCCTTCCTGCCTGTCCAGGGCATGCGTACGCCACGCACAGATGTTGACAGCATGGTGCTGTTGCCCAGTGCCCCCCTGGAGGGAGATGGAGTCCACAGTCCTTCCGTTCACTCAGTGGCCGTCACTGAGGCCCAGTCACGGGCCAGCCAGGCTCTGGGCACTCGCCCTGTCCTCAGGGAGTGTCCAGGCTCGTCTCCTTCATGTTGGAGGGCGGAGGGCTTTATTCCATCATCACAAGGCCAGGAGGAAAGTGAGGCTCACCAAAGGGAGGTGACTTGCCTGGGCCCTCACAGCTGGCAGGGAGCAGAGCCACCAGGAGCCCAGGGCTGCCTGCTCTGACTTCCGGGCTCTCCAGCACCACGTGCCCTACAGCTGAGAGAGCCATCCTGGCTGAGTGTGGAGGGCAACGTCCCACCCAGCGCCCCTCAAGGCCACGAGAGTGGACGTCGTGCCTGAGGCCCGGCAGAAGCTGCTCTCTCCTGGGCCTCAGGTGAAGGAGGTGCCAGCGGCTTCTGCCTATGCCGGCAGAATACTCCATGGCCGACTGAGGCACTGCCTGGCCAGGTCTCTGGTCTCTGCCATTGTCCCCCTGGGTCACTCAGGGCAGCCATTGCAAGACAATAGCAGAGCCAGAGTCCCGGATGCCAGTGGCTTCTCGGTAGAAACAGGGATGACAAGGCATTGTCTAAAGGGTGGAAGAACACCCACAGTGGGCTGGGGGTTTATGCGTCTCCTGCACTCCTCCGAGGAGTCCTCCTGGGGCTCTGGGTGCAGCACAGGCTGGGGCAGCAGGGGATGTGAGGCGGGGTCCCGGTAGACAGGCCAGCTGAGGCTTCTGGCTACAGGGATGGCCAAGGCCCCAGAGGGTATGGGATGCAGAACCACATGGTGTTGTGGGGTGCATACTAGGAAGAAGTGCTCTCGACTTGTATCAGTGGAGTGTCTGCGGTGAAGGGGTAGGGAGGTTGCTACTAAGGAGACTCCAGGCTTAGACCCGAATGTCCATCCACCTGTCACTGTCCCCAAGCTGCAGTCAGTCTCCTTTGGGTCCGACCCTGTCGTCTCCCTGGTAGCCCAGCAAGCACAGTGCGAATCAGTTTCCCCTGGACGCTGATCCTGGTCGCCATATGTGGGGAGGCGACAGCCTGTACACCTCCACAGACAGGACTAAGTCAGGGCTGTCTGGTGGCAAGGGACAGAAATCCCAACTCCAACAAGCTTTAGAAAAAAATTGTTTAAAATGAGTTGCTCTTAGGCCGGGCGCGGTGGCTCACGCCTGTAATCCCAGCACTTCGGGAGGCCAAGGTGGGCAGATCACGAGGTCAGGAGATTGAGACCATCCTGGCTAACACAGTGAAACCCCGTCTCTACTAAAAATACAAAAAATTAGCCAGGCATGGTGGCGGGCGCCTGTAGTCCCAGCTACTTGGGAGGCTGAGGCAGGAGAATGGTGTGAACTCGAGAGGCGGAGCTTGCAGTGAGCTGATATCGCGCCACTGCACTCCAGCCTGGGCGACAGAGCAAGACTTCATCTCAAAAAAAAAAAAAAAAAAAATTAGTTGCTCTTAAAACAAAAAGCATGATGGGTTTGACTTCAGGCAGGGCCAAATCCAGGTGTTCAAACAGTATCATCTGGTATTGGTCTCAGGCCTCTGATCCAGATTGCTTTAAAAAAAAAAAAAGAAAGAGGACAGGCGCGGTGGCTCAGCTGTAATCCCAGCACTTTGGGAGGCTGAGGCGGGTAGATCACGAGGTCAGGAGTTCAAGACCAGCCTGGCCAAGGTGGTGAAACCCCGTCTCTACTAAAAATACAAAAATTAGCCAGGCATGGTGGCGGGTGCCTGTAATCCCAGCTACTCGGGAGCCTGAGGCAGAGAATTGCTTGAACCCAGGAGGCAGAGGTTGCAGTGAGCTGAGATTGCGCCACTGCACTCCAGCTGACAGAGCGAGAATCTGTCTCAAAAAAAAAAAAAAGAAAAAGCGGTCTGGGTGCAGTGGCTCACACCTGTAATCCCAGCGCTTTGGAAGGCTGAGGCAGGTAGATCACCTGAGGTCAGGAGTTAGAGACCAGCCTGGCCAACATAGTGAAACCCAGTCTCTACTAAAAATACAAAAATTGACCAGGCATGGTGGTGGGCGCCTGTAATCCCAGCTACTCGGGAGGCTGAGGCAGGATAATTGCTTGCACCCAGGAGGCGAGGGGTTGCAGCGAGCCAAGATTGCGCCATTGCACTCCAGCCTGGGCAACAAGAGCAAAACTCCGTCTCAAAAAAAAAAAAAAGCAAGCATAATTAGCCTCAAGCAGTCTCTCCCAGCGCACGGGCAGAGGTGGCCTCCAGTGGTAAAGGGTTTCCCATCATAGTCGGTCCATGCCAGTGAGAGAGGATCGCTGCCTCCAAACAGACGTGGGAAGAGGCCTGGAATGTGGGTCTCTTTAGCCTGGCCTGGGTCACACGCCCGGCCCTGAACTGATGGCAGGTTCTGATTGGCGAAAGCTGTGTCACATGCTCATCTACACGGCCGAGGGTAGACCCCACCAGCTGCGCTTGGGGTTTACCCAGCCACCTGGGGATCAGGGTTCCACCTCCCATGGCCTCATAATGAGCCTCGCTCTGCCTCCACCCTCCAGATCAATGATGAGACCGAGCTGGAGGCCCTGTGCGCTGAGATCGCCTCCCAGCACCTGGCCACGGAGAGCCCTGACAGCCCCAACAAGCCCTGCTGCAGGTTCACCTACCTGACCATGACGGGCGAGGAGGTGGAGCTGTGCAGCCGGGGCCGGCACATCCTTGTGGCGTGAGTGTGTGCGCGTGTCAGGGGCTGGCAGGGGCTGGCCCGGCCAGCCAGCCAGGGTATGACAGCAGCATCTGTTCCTGGGCAATGACACGAGGACCTAGGTCAGGTGACAGGTGGATTTCACCAGGAGAGGGAGATGAGGCAGGATGGTGGGTGCCAAGAAAGAGGGTCCTCAGCAGAAGGGGTTTACTAAGAAAACAGCAGCTCTGAGGCGGCGGCACCAGAGGCAGGAAAGGACTGGGATGACCAGGGCGGCTGGGCCCCAGGCCTCTCCCAAGAGAGGATCCGGGACCTCCAGCTGAGTGGGTGTGGCCCCCAGACCCAGCCTCTTCGGCGGTGTTCTCCCTCACCTGTGCTCCTCACCCGGGCAGGTGGGAGAACAAGGACATCTACGCGGCAGCCATCCGGAGCCTGCGGCTGCGGGAGCTGCAGAATGTGGAGTGCGTGACGGCCGTGCGGGCCGGCCTGGGCTCCATCATCCCCCTGCAGCTGCTGACCATGCTCAGCCCACTGGAGATGGAGCTGCGCACCTGCGGCCTCCCCTACATCAACCTCGAGTTCCTCAAGGTAGACATCCCAGGGCCAGGCTGGGCGGGGAGGTGGTGAGCCCCAGGCGTGCCTCCCTGTCACCCTCAACTCCAGCAGCAGGCATCGGCAGTGGCCTGTCTCAGCTCTGTCCTTGCCACAGACCTGTATCATTGTCATCATTGTCATCTCCCTGTGCTCACAGCCCACACGTTGCACCCTGCCCCAGGATTGGGCCTGGCCTGCAGACCCCAGGGCTGGGGAGGCACTGGGTAGGTGGGGCTCCAGGGCTCCTGACACCTGGACCTCTCCTCCCCAGGCCCACACCATGTACCAAGTGGGGCTGATGGAGACGGACCAGCACATCGAGTTCTTCTGGGGGGCCCTGGAGATGTTCACCCAGGAGGAGCTGTGCAAGTTCATCAAGTTTGCCTGCAACCAGGAGCGCATCCCGTTCACCTGCCCCTGCAAAGATGGGGGTCCCGACACTGCCCATGTGCCCCCGTACCCCATGAAGATCGCCCCCCCAGATGGCACAGCAGGTACCGCCCTCCCCTGGCCATGTCCCAAGTAGGGACACACTAGCCTTTCTCTGTTTGGAACTGGGGCTGCCAGGCCCCATGTGAAGGGAGAACAATGAACAGGAGCCCCACGTGCCAAAACTCAGACATCATTGAGGATTAGGGCCCGGCAGGAACCAGCCATACAGGCCTGCTGTTAGATACTTTCTCATATCTTAAAAGAAGCTGAAAATCCAGAATGCTTCAAATCTTCTAACTTTTAAATGCAGAAAAATGGTTAAAAAAAAAAAAAAAGAAACAATTTGCTGGGCAGACAAACCCATCAGCAGTTTGGCACATGCGCTGTCCAGCAGCTCTCTCCCCTTTTCCCTCCAAGAACATCTCGCAGGTTCCCAGGCCCTCATCCCCCTCCTGCTGGGCCCCAGGATTGGCTTGGGGCTACCCAAGGAGGCAAACCTGGAAGCAGAGGCCAGCCCAGCTTCCCTGGGAGCCTCACAGATGTGGGCCCAACCCTCTGATGCTGGCTCGGTTTCTTGTAGGTTCCCCAGACTCTCGCTACATCCGCGTGGAGACCTGCATGTTCATGATCAAGCTTCCCCAGTACTCCTCTCTGGAAATCATGCTGGAGAAACTTCGTTGTGCCATTCACTACCGTGAAGACCCCCTCAGTGGCTGATGGGAGGGAGCCCCAGAATTAGGCTGTCACTGAGGCACCCACTCTGCTGGCTTGGGAAGCCACCACTGCGGCCCGTCCCTCCAGGGCCCTGCGTGAGGAGTTGGCAACATTTTGCTTTTCCAAACTTTCGTCCACATTCCAGGGCCTCCTGGAAGACTTAACCTTTTGTCTTTGTACGTTTCGTGATGGGTTGGTTCTTTTGCTGCCTGTTTGTGGTCTATTTGTAGGATAGTTTAGTTCCCAGACAGTTTGTGTCTAATTTGATCTTCTTGGACATTGTCCCTCATGGCCACCAGATTCTAATGCCATAAGGCCCCAGCTGGTTCCCCATCACAGAACCACCCAGCAGGAAGCCGGGGGTACAATGACCTCGGCCACACAGAGCGCTCGTGCTTTCAGCAGAGCGCCTCCACAGACAAGCCTGTGGCCAGCCCTGCCCTCCAGCCTCGAGCTGGAGTTGCTCCAGAGGCAGCCCCAGCAGGCCTCCCTCCACATAGAGGTGGCTGGGCCAATTGCCCAAACACGTGAGACACACAGGGAGCTTTATGTGTTCATCTTCCTGCTTTAGAACTTGCTCCCGGTCTTGGTTTTTCTGAGGAAAAGCCCACAGTGGTTCCCCTGCCCCTCCCATACCTCCCTATCTGCCGTCTGTCTCTTTGGGCCCTGGTCTGACAGTTTTCATCTGAGGCCTCCTCGGGAGCAGGAGACTTAAGGGTTCATCCCGACCTTAGTTCACAGAGCCTAGCTGGGTGCATCCCAGCCGCAGGGGGTGAGAAGACACCCAGAGATGGGGGACAATGCTCAGGTGGGGGCCTCCTCCGAGACTCTGGTTGAGAGGAAAGCACATGATTCAAGCCTACCCCACAAAAAAGGAGCACAAAATGCTCAGAAATGGCCCTTCCTCCCTGCAGTGACGTAGGACAAGGGAAAGGGCCACACCCATTTTCAAAAGAGTGGACTGAGGTGCTCTGCTCAATTTGGGGTCTGCTTTAGTGACCCAGACACTCAAGTCCAGATGGAGACTCCAGGGGGGTCCTTCTGCCCCTCTGGCCAGCCCCACCCAGCACTCCCCATCACCCCATGTAAGTGTGTATGCCAGGGCTGAGCTGCCTCCAGGCTCACCCACTGCATCTTTGCCCCAAATAGGTCTTTGTCCAGTGGTACTTTGTTCATGAGCAGCACAGGCCATCTTGTTGGACACTGTCACTTTGGGCCTTGCCAGGTCTCACAGAATCACATCGCTGTATTTATTGTATAATATTGTGAATATTGGAAGTTTTGAGTGAGTGCTGTCTAGAAGGTTTTGGAGTGTGGATGCTGGTCCAAGAAAGAAGATGTGCCCTGGCCTGCTGGAAAGATTGTGAATTCTAGAGATAGAGCCGTTAGCATCCATCTCCTCCCTGTAACTCTTAGGAAATGCATCAAGGACCATTATAGAAAGGATCCCCTGACCTAAGGATGAAATCGACCTAGGGTTAATCATGACAGCTGCATCAGTTGTATTGGATGCAAGTCAACTCTGGAGGTGAGTGCCCGCAAGCAGTTCCCCTGCTTTGAAAGAAGATGGTCAGCCCGCTGCCTCCCCAGCGGCCACAGCTCCTTTGAGTGTGGGGGGTCACAGCCAGGATGTATTCCTGACAATAAGGATCCTTTTATTTTCATTTCTGCATAATGAAAGAGCCTTTCGATTTATTAGAAGTGGTTTTTCCTCCCTACATCTTTAAATTCTTGGTTCTCTTTAGTCCTCATCCCTTGAATGGACTTGTCAGCTACCTCCCCAGGAGGAGTTCAGAAGCTTCTGTTGGCCATCACTTGAGTAGATGACAAGCTGTAAGGTATCTGCTGCTAACGTGGCTGCTTCTCCGAGAGCACATTGAGGTCCAGACAGATCCAAACCTTGGCCCTAAAAAATGTGTGCTGTAAAGTTACTTGATGTATATTTATTATAATTATTTATGGTTGCATTTAACAAACTTTTCATTCAATCTGATGCTATTTACACCATGCTGTGTAAAGGAAGCTCACTAAAGGAAAAAAGTCACACCAATAAATAACCTTCATCTAATTTTGATTTACCTTAAGAGTTGTGTGATCATCTACTCTTGCTGAGCAAGTTCAAAGGCTGGCATGCTTGGATGGCTCTGATATTTAAGTGCTGCCAAGTGGCTAGGAATTAAAGTGTTTCTAATTATTATGGTCTCTTGGCATTTGACGTGATTCTTACTCCATGAGGTTTTTAAACTACCCTTCCCCAAACCTGACTCTTCAGTCTGTGCATTCCATGTAGAAATTACGAAGGCAGGGGAATCCAAAATCAAAGTTAAACCTAACCCTACATCCCCTGCCCACTTTTTGTCCTGGCAGCTAGTCTATGCGCTTGGGCCTGGTGTGGGCATTTTCCTCAAGCGGATTGTTATCGTGGCAGAGTCTGGGCCCCTCTTAGACACAGCTCCTCCTTCAGGAGCAGGCAGTGGATGTAGACCTACCTTGTGCAGAAGGCACATACAGGAAAGAGGTGAGGACTTGCTGAGTCTTGCTGTCCATGATCAACACTCAGGTCCTTGCACAGCTGCCTCCCTGGCCAGGGAGCCCAGGTTGGCTATACTCCGGATAATCTCAGTTCTCTGTGACCTGCTTGTCCCCTCCTACTGTTCCATGGTAGTCCTCACCCAGAGCCGCTTTATTCTCATGCTCTCAACTCCACCTTTCTTGTACTTCATAAACACTAACTTTGGAAGGGTGGCAAGATGGCCGAATAGGAACAGCTCTGGTCTGCAGCTCCCAGCGAGACCAACACAGAAGGCAGGTGATTTCTGCATTTCTAACTGAGGTATCTGGCTCATCTCAATGGGACTGGTTAGACAGTGGGTGTAGCCTACAGAGGGTGATCTGAAGCAGGGTGGGGCATGGCCTCACCCAGGAAGCACAAGGGGTCAGCAAACTCCCTCCCCTAGCCAAGGGAAGCCATGAGGGACTGTGCCGGGAAGAACGGTGCACTCCGGCCCAGATACTATGCTTTTCCCACAGTCTTCACAACCTGCAGACCAAGAGATTTCCTCCAGTGCCTACGCCACCAGGGCTCTGAGTTTCAAGCACAAAACTGGGTGGCCGTATGGGCAGACACCGACCTAGCTGCAGGAGTTTTTTCATACCCCAGTGGCACCTGGAATGCCAGCAAGACAGAACAGTTCACTCCCCAGGAAAGTGGGCTGAAGCCAGGGAGCCAAGTGGTCTAGTTCAGCAGATCCCACCCCCATGGAGCCCAGCAAGCTAAGATCCACTGGCTTGAAATTCTCACTGCCAGCACAGCAGTCTGAAGTCAACCTGGGATGTTCGAGCTTGGTGTGGGGAGAGGCGCCTGCCATTACTGAGGCTTCAGTAGGTGGGTTTTCCCCTCACAGTGTAAACAAAGCTGCCAGGAAGTTCGAACTGGGTGGAGCCCACCACAGCTCGGCAAAGTCGCTGTAGCCAGACTGCCTATTTAGACTCCTCTCTGGGCAGGGCATCTCTGAAAGAAAGGCACCAGCCCTGTCAAGGGCTGATAGATAAAATTCCTATCTCCCTGGGACAGAGCACCTGGGGGAAGGGGCAGCTGTGGGCACAGCTTCAGCAGACTTAAACTCCCTGCCTGCCAGCTCTGAAGAGAGCAGCAGATCTCCCAGCACAGCACTTGAGCTCTGCTAACGGACAGACTGCCTCCTCAAGTGGGTCCCTGAGCCCCACGCCTCCTGACTGGGAAACACCTCCCAGCAGGGACCGACAGACACCTTATACAGGATAACTCTGGCTGGCATCGCGTGGGTGCCCCTCTGGGACAAAACTTCCAGAGGAAGGAACAGGCAGCAATCTTTGCTATTCTGCAGCCTCTGCTGGTAATACTGGTCTGGAGCGGACCTCCAGCAAACCCCAGCAGACCTGCAGCAGAGGGGCCTGTTAGAAGAAAAACTTAACAAACAGAAAGGAATAGCATCAACATCAACAAAAACAACATCCACACAGAAACCCCATCCAAAGGTCACCAACATCAAGGACCAAAGGTAGATAAATCACCGAAGATAAGGAAAAACCAGCGCCAAAAGGCTGAAAATTCCAAAAACCAAAACACTTCTCCTCCAAAGGATCACAGCTCCTCCCCAGCAAGAGAACAAAACTGGATGGAGAATGAGTTTGATGAATTGACAGAAGTAGGCTTCAGAAGGTGGGTAATAACAAACCCCTCCAAGCTAAAGGAGCATGTTCTAACCCAGGGCAAAGACGCTAAGAACCTTGAAAGAAGGTTACAGGAATTGCTAACTAGAATAACCAGTTTAGAGAAGAACATAAATGACCTGATGGAGATGAAAAACACAGCATGAGAACTTCGTGAACCATACACAACTATCAACAGCTGAATCGATCAAGCGGAAGAAAGGATATCAGAGATTGAAGATCAACTTAATGAAATAAAGTGAGAAGACAAGATTAGAGAAAAAAGAATGAAAAGGAATGAACAAAGCCTCCAAGAAATATGGGACTATGTGAAAAGACCAAACCTACATTTGATTGGTGTACCTGAAAGTGACAGGGAGAATGGAACCAAGTTGGAAAACACTCTTCAGGATATTATCCAGGAGAACTTCCCCAACCTAGCAAGACAGGCCAACATTCAAATTCAGGAAATACAGAGACCACCACAAAGATACTCCTCAAGAAGAGGAACGCCAAGACACATAATCATCACATTCACCAAGGTTGAAATGAAGGAAAAAATGTTAAGGGCAGCCAGACAGAAAGGGCGGGTTACCCACAAAGGGAAGCCCATCAGACTAACAGCAGATCTCTCTGCAGAAACCCTACAAGCCAGAAGACAGTGGAGGCCAATATTCAACATTCTTAAAGAAAAGAATTTTCAACCCAGAATTCCATATCCAGCCAAACTAAGCTTCATAAGCAAAGGAGAAATAAAATCCTTTACACACAAGCAAATGCTGAGAGATGTTGTCACCACCAGGCCTGCCTTACAAGATCTCCTAAAGGAGGCACTAAATATGGAAAGGAAAAACCAGGACCAACCACTGCAAAAACATACCAAATTGTAAAGACCATCGACACTAGGAAAAAACTGCATCAACTAACAGGCAAAACAACCAGCTAGCATCATAATGACAGGATCAAATTCACACATAACAATATTAACCTTAAAAGTAAATGGGCTAAATGCCCAAATTAAAAGACACAGACTGGCAAATTGGATAGAGTCAAGACCTATCAGTGTGCTGTATTCAGGAGACCCATCTCACATGCAAAGAC